>NC_000006.12:61398261-61701291 GCF_000001405.40 Homo sapiens
ACATAAAAACTAGACAGAAGCATTCTCAGAAACTTCTTTGTGATGTCTGCACTCAACTCACAGAGTTCAACCTTCCTTTTGAAAGAGCAGTTTTGAAACACTCTTTTTGTAGAATTTGCAAGTGGATATTTAGAGCCCTTTGAGGCCTATGTTAGAAAAGGGAATATCTTCATATAAAAACTGTACAGAATCATTCTCAGAAACTACTTTGTGATGTGTGCGTTCGACACGCAGAGTGTAACCTTTCTTTTGATAGAGCAGTTTTGAAATACTCTATTTGAAAAGTCTGCAAGCAGACTTTTGGAGCGCTTTGAAGCCTTCTTTGGAAACAGGAGTATTTTCACATAAAAAGTAGACAGAAGTATTCTCAGAAACTTCTTTGTGATGTCTGCATTCAACTCACAGAGTTGAAACTTCCTTTTGATAGAGCATTTTTGAAACACTCTTTCTGCAGAATTTGCAAGTGGATATTTAGAGTGCTTTGTGGCCTATGGTGGAAAAGGAAATATGTTCATAGAAAAACTACACAGAAGAATTCTCAGAAAGTTCTTTGTGATGTGTGCGTTCATCTCACAGAGTTTAACCTTTCTTTTGATAGTGCAATTTTGAAACACTCTTTTTGTGGAATTTGCAAGTGTATATTTAGAACGTTTTGAGGCCTATGGTAGAAAAGGTAATACCTTCACATAAAAACTAGACAGAAGCATTGTCAGAAACTAGTTCGTGATGTTTGCATTCAACTCAGAGTGTTGAAAATTCCTCTTGATAGTGCAGTTTTGAAACACTCTTTTTGTAGTATCTGCTAGTGGATATTTGGGCCTCTTTGAGGCCTTCGTTGGAAACGGGATTTCTTCATATAAAACTAGACAGAAGAATTCTCAGAAACTTATTTGTGATTTGGGCATTCAACTCACAGAGTTGAACTTTCTTTTCGATAGGGCAGTTTTGAAACACTCTTTTTTTAGAATTTCCAAGTGAATATTTAGAGCACTTGGAGGCCTGTGTTAGAAAAGGAAATATCTTCATAGAAAAACTAGACAGAATCATTCTCAGAAACTATTTGTGATGTGTGCGTTCAACTCACAGAGTTTAACCTTTCTTTTGATAGAGCAGTTTTGAAAACGCTCTTTTTGTAGAATTTGCATGTGTGTTTTTAGAGGGCTTTGAGGTCTATGATAGAAAAGGAAATATCTTCACATAAAAACTAGACAGAAGCATTCTCAGAAACTACTTTGTGATGTGTGCATTCAACGCAGAGTTCAACATTTCTTTTGATACTGCAGTTTTGATACACTCTTTTTGTAGAATCTGCAAGTGTATATTTGGACCTCTTTGTGGCCTATGGTGGAAAAGTAAATACGTTCATAGAAAAACTACACAGACCCAATCTCAGAAACTATTTCGTGATGTGTGCATTCATCTCACAGAGTTTAACCTTTCTTTTGATAGAGCAGTTTTGAAACACTCTTTTTGTAGAATTTGCAAATGTATATTTAGAACGCTTTGAGGCCTATGGTAGAAAAGGAAATACCTTTCCACAAAAACTAGACAGAGGCATTCTCAGAAACTACTTTGTGATGTTTGCATTCAACTCACAGAGTTGAACATTCCTCTTGATAGAGCAGTTTTGAGACACTCTTTTTGTAGTATCTGCAAGTGTATATTTTGATCATTTTCAGGCCTTCATTGAAAACGGGATTTCTTCATATAAATCTAGACAGAAGGATTCTCAGAAACTTCTTTGTGATGTGTGCATTCAACTCAGAGAGTTGAACATTCCTCTTGATAGAGCAAGTTGGAAGCACTCTGTAGAATTCACATGTGGATAATTGGACCTTTTTGTGGCCTTCGTTTGAAACGGGATTTCTTCACATAAAACTAGACAGAAGAATTCTCAGAAACATCTTTGTATTATGGGCATTCAACTCACAGAGTTGAACCTTCCTTTCTATGAGCAGTTTTGAAAAACTCTTTTTGTAGAATTTCCAAGTGTATACTTAGAGCGCTTTCAAGCTTATGATAGAAAAGGAAATATCTTCATATGAAAACTAGACAGAATCATGCTCAGAAACCACTTTGTGATGTGGGCATTCAACTCACAGAGTTTAACTTTTCTTTTGATAGAGTAGTTTTGAAACAATCTGTTTGTAAGTCTGCAAGTGGGTATTTGGAGCCCTTTGAGTCCTTCTTTGGAAACGGGAATATCTTCACATAAAAAGTAGACAGAAGTTTTCTCAGAAACTTCTTTGTGATGTCTGCACTGAACTCACAGATTTTAACCTTCCTTTTGATAGAGCAGTTTTGAAGCACACTTTTTGTAGTGTTTGCAATTGGATATTTAGAGTGCTTCGGGGCCCATGGTGGAAAAGTAAATATGTTCATAGAAAAACTACACAGAAGCATTCTCAGAAACTACTTTATGATGTGTGCGTTCAACTCACAGAGTTTAAACTTTCTTTTGATAGAGCAGGTTTTGAAACACTCTTTTTGTAGAATTTGCAAGTGTATATTTAGAGCGCTTTGAGGCCTATGGTAGAAAATGAAATATCTTCACATAAAAACTACACAAAAGCATTGTCAGAAACTACTTTTTGATGTTTGCATTCAACTCACAGAGTTGAACATCCTCTTGATAGAGCAGTTTTGAAATACTCTTTTTGTAGTATCTGCAAGTGGATATTTGGACCTCTTTGAGGCCTTCGTTGGAAACAGAAATTTCTTCATATAAAAACTAGACAGAAGAATTCACAGAAACTTCTTTGTGATGTGTGCATTCTACTCACAGATTTGAACCCCCCTTTGGTAAGAGCAGTTTGAAACACTCTTTTTCTAGAATTTCCAAGTGAATATTTACAGCGCTTTGAGGTCAATTGTAGAAAAGGAAATATCTTCACAGAAAAACCAGACAGAATCATTCTCAAAAACTACTTTGTGATGTGTCCGTTCAACCCACAGACTTTAACCTTGCTTTTGATAGAGCAGTTTTGAAACGCTCTTTTTGTAGTATTTGCAAGTGTGTATTTAGAGGGCTTTGAGGCCTACGGTAGAAAAGGGAATATCTTCACATAAAAACTAGACAGAAGCATTCTTAGAAACTACTTGGGGATGTTTGCATTCAACTCACAGAGATCAACATTTGTTTTGATAGATCAGTTTTGAAACACTCTTTTTGTAATATTTCTAAGTGAATATTTAGATTGCTTTGAAGCCTATGTTAGAAAGGTAAATATCTTCATATAAAAAACAGACAGAATCATTCTCAGAAACTACTTTGTGATGTGTGCTTTCAACTCACAGAGTTTAACCTTTCTTTTGATAGAGTAGTTTTGAAACACTCTGTTTGCAATGTCTGGAAGTGGATATTTGGAGCGCTTTGAGGCCTTCTTTGGAAACGGGAATGTCTTCACATAAAAAGTAGACAGAAGTATTCTCAGAAACTTCTTCATGATGGCTGCACACAGTCGAAACTTCCTTCTGATAGACCAGTTTTGAAACCCTCTTTTTCTAGAATTTGCAAGTGGATATTTAGAGCGCTTTGAAGCCTATGGTTGAAATGGAAATGTCTTCATATAAAATTAGACAGAATCATTCTCAGAAACTACTTTGTGATGTGTGCGTTTAACTCTCATAGTTTAACTTTTCTTTTGATACAGCAGTTTTGAAACACTCTTTTTGTTGAATTTGAGAGTGTATATTTAGAGCGCTTTGAGGCCAATGGTAGAAAAGGAAATATCTTCCTATTAAAACTAGACAGAATCATTGTCAGAAACTACTTTGTGATGTTTGCATTCAACTCACAGAGTTGAACATTCTTCTTGATAGAGCAGTTTTGAAACACTCTTTTTGTGGAATCTGCAAGTGGATATTTGGAACTTTTTGAGGCCTTCGTTGGAAATGGGATTTCTTCGTATAAAACTAGACAGAAGAATTCTCAGAAACTTCTTTGTGATGTTTGCATTCAACTCACAGGGTTGAACCTTCCTTTCAATAGAGCAGATTTGAAACACTCTTTTTGTAGTATTTCCAAGTGGATATTTAGAGCAGTTTGAAACCTATGGTAGAAAAGGAAATATCTTCATAGAAAAACTTGGCAGAATCATTCTCAGAAACTACTTTGTGATGTGTGAGTTCAACTCTCAAAGTTTAACCTTCCTTTGATAGAGCAGTTTTGAAACGCTCTTTTTGTGGAATTTGCAAGTGTATATTTAGAGCGCTTTGAGGCCTATGATAGATAAGGGAATATCTTCACATAAAAACTAGACAGAAACCTTCTCTGAAACTACTTGGTGATGTTTGCATTCAACTTACAGAGTTGACCTTTCCTCTTGATAGAGCAGTTTTCAGACACTCTTTTTGTAATATCTGAAAGGGGATATTTTCAACTTTTTTGAGGCCTTCGTTGGAAATGAGATTTCTTCATGTAAAACTAGACCAAAGAATTCTGAGAAACTTATTGTGATGTTTGCATTCAGCTCACAGAGTTGAACCTTCCTTTCGATAGAGCAGTTTTGAAACAGTCTTTTTGTAGAATTTCCAAGTGGATATTTAGAGCGCTTTGAAGCCTATGTTAGAAAAGGAAATATCTTCATAGAAAAACTAGACAGAATCATTCTCAGTAACTACTTTGTGATGTGTGTGTTCAACTCACAGAGTTTAACTTTTCTTTTGATAGAGCAGTTTTGAAACAGCCTTTTTGTAGAATTTCCAAGCGGATCTTTAGAGGGCTTTGAGGCCTATGCTAGAAAAGGAAATATCTTCATAGAAAAACTAGACAGAATCATTCTCAGTAACTACTTCGTGATGTGTGCGTTCAACTCACAGAGTTTAACCTTTCTTTTGATAGAGTAGTTTTGAAACAGCCTTTCTGTAGAATTTGCAGGTGTATATTTAGAGTGTTTTGAGGCCTATGGTAGAAAAGGAAATTTCACAAAAAACTAGAGGGAAGCATTCTCAGACACTAATTTCTGATGTTTGCATTCAACACACAGAGTTGAACATTCCTCCTGATAGAACAGTTTTCAAACACTCGTTTTGTAACATCTGCAAGTGGATATTTGGAACTATTTTAGGCCTTCATTGGAAACGGGAATTTCTTCACATAAAAACTAGACAGAAGAATTCTCAGAAAGTTTTTGATGTGTGCATTCAACTCACAGAGTTGAAACTTCCTTTTCATAGAACAGCTTTGAAACCCTCTTTTTGTAGAATTTCCAAGTGGATATAAAGAGCACTTTGAAACGTATGGTAGAAAAGTTAATATCCTCATCTAAAAACTAGACAGAATCTTTCTCAGAAACTACTTTGTGATGTGTGCGTTCAACTTGCGGAGTTTAATCTTTCTTTTGCTATAGCAGTTTTGAAACACTCTGTTTGTAAAGGCTGCAAGTGGATATTTGGAGCACTTTGAGGCATTCTTGGAAACAGGAGTATATTCACATAAAAAGTAGACAGAAGTATTCTCAGAAACTTCTTTGTGATGTCTGCATTCAACTCACAGATTTGAACCATCCTTTTGATAGAGCAGTTTTGAAACACCCTTTTTGTAGAATTTGCAAGTGGATATTTAGAGTGTTTTGTGGCGTATGTTACAAAAGGAAATATCTTCATAGAAAAACTAGACAGAATCATTCTCAGAAACTACTATGCAATGTGTGCGTTCAACTCACAGAGTTTAACCTTCCTTTTGATAGAGCAGTTTTGAAACACTCTTTTTGTAAAGGTTGCAAGTGGATATTTGGACCTCTTAGAGGCCTTCGTTGGAAACGAGATTTCTTCATATAAAACTAGACAGAAGAATTCTCAGAAACTTCTTTTTGATGTGTGCCTTCAACTCACAGAGTTAAACCTTCCTTTCGATAGAGCAATTTCAATACACTCTTCTTGTAGAATTTCCAAGTGAAAATGTAGAGCGTAATGAGGCCTATGGTAGAAAAAAAAATATCTTCATAAAAAACTAGACAGAATCATTCTCAGAAACTACCTTGTGATGTGTGCGTTCAATCAAAAGACCTTTCTCTTGATAGAGCAGTTTTGAAACACTGTTTTCACCGAATTGGCAAGTGTGTATTTACAGGGCTTTTAGGCCTCTGGTAGAAAAGGAAATATCTTCACATAAAAACTAGACAGAAGCACTCTCAGAAACTACCTTGAAATGTTTGCATTCAACTCACAGAATTCAACGTTCCGTTTGATAGAGCAGTTTTGAAACACTCTTTTTGTAGAATCTGCAATTGGATATTTAGAGCGCTTTGAAGCGTATGTTAGAAAAGGAAATATCTTCATATGAAAACTAGACAGAATCATTCTCAGAAACTACATTGTTATGTGTGCGTTCAACACACACCATTTAAACTTTCTTTTGTTAGGGCAGTTTTGAAACACTCTGATTGTAAATTCTGCAAGTAGATATTTGTAGCGCTTTGAGGCCTTCTTTGAAAACGGGAATATCTTCACATAAAAAGTAGACAGAAGTATTCTCAGAAACTTCTTTGTGATGTGTGCATTCAACTCAGAGATTTGAAAGTGCCTTTCAATAGAGCAGCTTTGAAACACTCTTTTTGTAGAATTTCCAAGTGGATATTTAGAGCCCTTTGAGGCCTATGGTAGAAAAGGAAATATTTTCATATAAAAACTAGACAGTATCATTTTCAGAAACTAGTTTGTGATGTGTGCCTTCAACTCACAGAGTTTAAGCTTTCTTTTGATATAACACTTTTGAAACACTCTTTTTGTAGAATTTGCAAGTGTATATTTATAGCGCTTTGAGGCCTATGGTAGAAAAGGAAATATCTTCACACAAAAACTAGACAGAAGCATTCTCAGAAACAACTTTGTGATGTTTGCATTCAACTCACAGAGGTGAACATTCCTTTTGATAGAGGAGTTTTGAAACACTCTTTTTGTAGAATCTGCAAGAGGATACTTAGACCTCTTTGACGCCTTCGTTGGAAACAGGAATTTCTTCACGTAAAAGCTACACAGAAGAATTCTCAGAAACTTTTTGGATGTGTGCATTCGACTCACAGAGTTGAACCTAACTTTTGATAGAGCAGTTTTGAAACACTCTTTTTGAAGAATTTCTAAGTGGATATTTAGAGCGCTTTGAAGGTATAAAAGGAAATATCTTCATATAAAAACTAGACAGAATCATTCTCAGAAATTGCTTTGTGATGTGTTCGTTCAAATCACAGAGTTTAACCTTTCTTTTGATAGAGCAGTTTTGAAACGCTCTGTTTGTAACGTCTGCAAGTGGATATTTGGATATCTTTTAGGCGTTCTTTCGAAACGGCAGTATGTTCACATAAAAAGTAGACAGAAGTATTCTCAGAAATTTCCTTGTGTTGTCTGCACTCAACTCAGAAATTTCAACCTTCCTTTTGATAGAGCAGTTTGGAAACACTCTTTTTGTAGAATTTGCAATTGGATATTTAGAGCGCTTTGAGGCCTATTTTAGAAAAGGAAATATCTTCATAGAAAAACTAGACAGAATCATTCTCAGAAACTACTTTGTGATGTGTGTGTTCAACTCACATAGTTTAATCTTTCTTTTGATAGAGCAGTTTTGAAACACTCTTTAAAGTCTGCAAATGGGTATCTGGAGCGATTTGAGGCCTTCTTTTGAAATGGGAGTATCCTCACAGAAAAAGTAGGAAGAAGTATTCTCAGAAACTTCTTTGTGATGTCTGAGCTGAACTCACAGATTTGAACCTTCCTTTTGATAGGGCAGTTTTGAAACACTCTATTTGTAGAATTTGCAAGTGGATATTTAGAGCGCTTTGGGACCTATGGTAGAAAAGGAAATATCTTCATAGAAAAACTACACAGAAGCATTCTCAGAAACTACTTTGTGATGTTTGCATTCAACTCACAGAGTTGAACATTTCTTTTGATACAGTAGATTTGTAACACTCTTTTTGCAGAATCTGCAAGTGGATATTAGGATCTCTTTGAGGGCTTCGTTGGAAACGGGAATTTCTTCATATAAAAACTAGACAGAATAATTCTCAGAAACTTCTTTGTGATGTGTGAATTCAACTCACAGAGTTGATTCTTCCTTTCGATAGAGCAGTTTTGAAACTCTCTTTTTGTTGAATTTGCAAGTGGATATTTAGAGTGCTTTGTGGCCTATGGTAGAAAAGGAAATATCTTCATATAAAAACTAGACAAAATCATTCTACGAAACTACTTTGTGATGTGTGCGTTCAACTCACAGTATTTAACCTTCCTTTTGATAGAGCAGTTTTGAAACACTCTTTTTGAAGAATTCGCAAGTGGATATTAGAGCACTTTGAGGCCTACGGTAAAAAAGGAAATATCTTCACATAAAAACTAGACAGAAGCATTCTCAGAAATTAATTGGTGAAGTTTCATTCAACTCACAGAGTTGTACATTCCTCTTGATAGGGCAGTTTTGAAACAGTCTTTTTGTAGAATCTGCAAGTGGATATTTGGACCTCTTTGAGGCCTTCTTTGGAGACAATTTTTTCATTTATAAGTAGACAGAAGAATTCTCAGAAACTTCTTTGTGATGTGTGCATTCAACTCACAGAGTTGAACCTTCCTTTCAATAGAGCAGTTTTGAAACACTCTTTTTGTAGAATTTCCAAGTGGCTATTTAGAGGGCTTTGAGGCCTAAGGTAGAAAAGGTAATATCTTCATATAAAACAAGACAGAATCATTCTCAGAAACTACTTTGTGATGTGTGCGTTCAACTCACAAAGTTTAACTTTTCTTTTGATAGAACAGTTTTGAAGCACTCTTTATGTAGGATTTGAAAGTTTATACTTAGAGCGCTTTGAGGCCTTTGGTAGAAAAAGAAATATCTTCACATAAAAACTAGACAGAAGCATTCTCAGAAACTACTATGGGATGTTTGCATTCAACTCACAGAGTTGAACATTCCTCTTGATAGAGCAGTTTTGAAAAACTCTTTTTGTAGAATCTGCAAGTGGATATTTGGACCTCTTTGAGGCCTTCGGTGGAAAAGGGATTTCTTCATATAAAACTACACAGAAGAATTCTCAGAAACTTCTTTCCGCTGTGTGCATTCAACTCACGAGTTGAGCCTTCCTTCCGATAGAGCAGTTTCGAAACATTCTTTTTGTAGAATTTCCTAGTGGAAATTTAGAGTGCTTTGAGGCCTATGGTAGAAAAGGAAATATCTCATATAAAAACTAGACAGAATCATTATCAGAAACTACTTTGTGATGTGTGCTTTCAACTCACAGAGTTTATCCTTTCTTTTGATAGAGCAGTTTTGAAACCCTCTTTTTGTAGAATTTGCAAGTGTATATTTAGATCGCTTTGAGGCCTATGCAAGAAAAGGAAATATCTTCACATAAAAACTAGACAGAAGCATTCTCAGAAACTACTTTGTGATGTTTGCATCAACTCACAGAGTTGAACATTCCTCTTAATAGAGCAGTTTTGAAACACTCTTTTTGTAGAATCTGCAAGTGGTTATTTACATCTCTTTGAGGGCTTCTCTGGAAAAGTGATTTCTTCATATAAAACTAGACAGAAGAATTCTCAGAAACTTCTTTGTGATGTGTGCATTCAAGTCACAGAGTTGAACCTTCCTTTCGATAGAGCAGTTTTGAAACACTCTTTTTGTAGAATTTCCAAGTAAATATTTTGAGGGCTATGAGGCCTATTGTAGAAAAGGAAATATCTTCCTATAAAAACAAGACAGACTCATTCTCAGAAATTAATTTGTGATGTGTGTGTTCAACTCACAAAATTTAAACTTTCTTTTGATAGAGCAGGTTTGAAACACTCTTTTTGTAGAATTTGTAAGTGTGTATTTACATAACTTTGAGGCCTATTGTAGAAAAGGAAATAACTTCCAATGAAAACAGGACGGAAGCTTTCTAAGAAACTTTGTGATGTTTGCATTCAATTCACAGAGTTGAACACTCCACTTGATAGAGCTGTTTTGAAACACTCTTTGTAGAATCTGCAAGTGGATATTTGGACCTCTTTGAGGTCTTCGTTGGAAACGGGAATTTCTTCACATAAAAACTAGCAGAAGAATTCTCAGAAAGTTTTTGTGATATGTGCATTCAACTCACAGTGTTGAGCCTTCCTTTTGATAGAGTAGTTTTGAAACATTCCTTTTCTAGAATTTCCAAGTGGATATTTAGAACACTTTGAAGCCTATGGTAGAAAAGGAAATATCTTCACTTAAAAACTAGACAGAATCATTCTCAGAAACTACTTTGTAATGTGTGCGTTCAACTCACAGAGGTTAACCTTTCTTTTGATAGAGCAGTTTAAACACTCTTTTTGTAGGATTTGGAAGTCTATATATAGAGCCCTATGAGGCCTTCGTTGGAAACAGGAATTTCTTCACCTATAAACTTGACAGAAGTATTCTCAGAAATTTTTGTTATATGCTCATTTAACTCACAGAGTTGAACCTTCCTTTTGATAGAGCAGTTTGGAAACACTCTTTTTGAAGAATTTCCAAGTGGTTATTTAGAGAGCTTTGAGGCCTATGGAAGAAAAGGAAAAATCTTCATATAAAAACTAGACAGAATCATTCTCAGAAACTACTTTGTGATGTTGGGTTCAACTCACAGAGTTTAACCTTTCTTTTGATAGAGCAGTTTTGAAAATCTCTTTTTGTAGTATCTGCAAGTGGATATTTGGACCTCTTTGAGGCCTTCATTAAAATGGGATTTCTGCATATTAAACTAGACAGAAGAATTCTCAGAAACTTCTTTGTGATGTGTGCATTCAACTCAAAGTGTTGAACGTCCCTTTCGATAGAGCAGTTTTGAAAAACTCGTTTTGTAGTATTTCCAAGTGCATATTTAGAGCCCTTGGAGGCCTAATGTAGAAAAGGAAATATCTTCATATAAAAACTAGACAGAATCATTCTCAGAAACTAGTTTGTTATGTTTGCATTCAACTCACAGAGCTTATCGTTTCTTTTGGTAGAGCAGTTTTGAAACACTCTTTTTGTAGTATTTGCAACTGTATATTTAGAGTGGTTTGCAGCCTATGGTAGAAAAGGAAATATCTTCACATAAAAAGTAGACAGAAGCATTCTCAGAAACTAATTTAGATGTTTGCATTCAACCCACAGAGTTGAACATTACTCTTGATAGAGCAGTTTTGAAACTCTCTTTTTTTAGAATCTGCAAGTGGATATTTGGAACTCTTTCAGACCTTCATTGGAAACGGGATTTCTTCATTTAAAACTTGACAGAACAATTCTCAGAAACTTCTTTGTGATGAGTGTATTCAACAAACCTTGTTGAATCTTCCTTTCCTTAGAGCAGTTTTGAAACACCCTTTTTTGTACTATTTCTAAGTTATTATTTAGAGCGCTTTGAGGCCTGTGGTAGAAAAGGAAATATCTTCATAGAAAAAATAGACAGAATCATTCTCAGAAACTACTTTGTGATGTGTGTGTTCAACCCACAGAGTTTAACCGTTCTTTTGATAGAGCAGTTTGAAACGCTCTTTTGGTAGATATTGCAAGTGTGTATTTAGAGGGCTTTGAGGCCAATGGTAGAAAAGGAAATATCTTTACAGAAAAACTAGACAGAAACATTCTCAGAAACTACTTTGTGTTGTGGGCATTCAACTCACAGAGTTTAACCATTCTTTTGATAGAGCAGTGTTGAAAAACTCTGTTTGTACAATCTGCAAGTGGATATTTAGAGCGCTTTGAGGCCTTCTTTGGAAACGGGAATCTCTTCACATAAAAAGTAGACAAAAGTATTCTCAGAAACTTCTTTGTGATGTGTGCATTAAAGTCACAGAGTTGAACCTTCCTTTCGACAGAGCAGTTTCAAAAGACTCCTTTTGTAGAATTTCCAAGTGAATATTTAGAGCGCTTTGAGGCCTATGGTAAAAAAGGGAACATCTTCATAGAAAAACTAGACACAATAATTCTCAGAAACTACTTTGTGATGTGTGGGTTCAACTCACAGATTTTAACCTTTCTTTTGATAGAGCAGTTTTGAAACACTCTTTTTGTAGAATTTGGGTGTGTGTATTTAGATGGCTTTGAGGCCTATGGTAGAAAAGGAAATATCTTCACCTAAAAACTAGACAGAAATAGTCTTAGAAAATACTTTGTGACGTTTGCATTCAACTCACAGTTTTCTATATTCCTTTTGATAGAGCATTTTAGAAACACACTTTTTGAAGAATTTGCAAGTGTGTAGTTAGAGGGCTTTGAGGCCTATGGTAGAAAATGAAGTATCTTCACACAAAAACTAGACAGAATAATTCTCAGAAACATTTTGTGATGTGTGCATTCAACTCACAGAGCTTAAACTTTCTTTTGATAGAGCAGTTTTGAAAATCTGCAAGTGGGTATTTGGAGGGCTCTGATGCCTTCTTTGGAAACGGGAATATCTTCACATAAAAAGTAGACAGAATTATTCTCAGAAACTTCTTTGTGATGTCTGCACTCAAGTCACAGATTTGAACCTTCCTGTTGATAGAGCAGTTTTGAAACACTCTTTTTGTAGAATTTGCAAGTGGATATTTAGAACGCTTTGAGGCCTATGGTAGAAAAGGAAATATCTTCATAGAAAAACCACCCAGAATTATTCTCAAAAACTACTTTGTGATGTTTGCACTCAACTCATAGAGTTGAAAATTCCTCTTGCCAGAGCAGTTTTGAAACACTCTTTTTGTACAATCTGTAAGTGGATATTTGGACCTCTTTGAGGCCTTCGTTTTAAACGGGAATTTCTTCACATAAAACTAGACAGAAGAATTCTCAGAATCTTCTCTGTGATGTGTGCATTCAACTCAGAGAGTTGAAAGTTCCCTTCGATAGAGCAATTTTGAAACACTCTTTTTGTAGAATTTCCAAGTGGATATTTAGAGCACTTCGAGGTCTATGATAGAAAAGGAAATATCTTCATATAAAAACTGGACAGTACCTTTCTCAGAAACTACTATGTGATGTGTGCGTTCAACTCACAGAGTTTAAAATTTTTTGATAGGACAGTTTTGAAACACTCTTTTTGTGGAATCTGCACGTGGATATTTTGACCTCTTTTAGGCCTTCATTGGAAAAGGGTTTTCTTCATATAAAACTAGACAGAAGTATTCTCAGAAACTTCTGTGTAATGTTTGCATTCAACTCACAGAGTTGAACCTTCCTTTTGATAGAGCAGTTTTGAAACACTCTTTTTGTAGAATTTCCAGTGGATATTTAGAGTCCTTTGATGCCTACAGTAGAAAAGGAAACATCTTCATATAAAAACTAGACAGAATCATCTGAGAAACTACTTTGTGAGGTGTGTGTTCAACTCAAAGAGTTTATCCTTTCTTTTGATATAGCAGTTTTGAAACACACTCTTTTTAGAATTTGCTAGTGTATATTTAGCACGCTATGAGGCCTATCATAGAAAAGGAAATATCTTCACATAAAAACAAGACAGAGGAATTGTCAGAAACTTCCCTGTGATGTGTGCATTCAACTCACAGAGTTTAACATTCCTTTCGAAGAGCAGTTTTGTAACACTCTTTTTGTAGAATCTGCAAGTGGATATTTGGAGCTCTTTGAGGCCTTCGTTGGAAACGGGAATTTCTTCATAGAAAAAGTAGACAGAAGAATTCTCAGAAACATTTTGTGATGTGGGCTTTCAACTCACGGAATTGTATCTCCTTTTTGATAGAGAAGTTTTGAAACACTCTTTTTGTAGTATTTCCAATTGTATATTTAGAGCGCTTTGAAGTCTACGGTAGAGAAGGAAATATCTTCATAGAAAAACTAGACAGAATCTTTCTCAGAAACTACTTTGTGATGTGTTCGTTCAACTCAGAGTTTAACCTTTCTTTTCATAGAGCAGTTTTGAAATACTCTGTAAAGTCTGCAAGTGGATATTTGGAGCGCTTGAGGCCTTCTTTCGAAGCGGGAGTATCTTCATATAAAAAGTAGACAGAAGTATTCTCAGAAAATTCTTTGTGATGTCTGCACTCAACTCACAGAGTTGAACCTTCCTTTTCATACAGCAGTTTTGAAACACTCTTTTTGTAGGATTTGCAAGTGGATATTTAGAGCGCATTGAGGCCTATGTTAGAAAATGCATTATCTTCTTATAAAAACTAGACAGAATCATTCTCAGAAACTACTTTGTGATGTGTTCGTTCAACTCACAGAGTTTAACCTTTCTTTTCATAGAGCAGTTTTGAAACACTCTGTTTGTAAAGTCTGCAAGTGGATATTTGGAGCGCTTGAGGCCTTCTTTCAAAGCGGGAGTATCTTCATATAAAAAGTAGACAGAAGTATTCTCAGAAAATTCTTTGTGATGTCTGCAGTCAACTCACAGAGTTGAAGCTTCCTTTCTATAGAGCATTTTTGAAACACTCTTTTTGTAGAATTTGGAAGTGGAAAGTTAGAGCGCTTTGGGGCCTTTGGTAGAAATGGAAATATCTTCATAGAAAAACTACACAGAAGCATTCTCAAAAACTACCTTGTGATGTTTGCATTCAACTCACAGAGTTGAACACTTCCGTTGATGGGGCATTTTTGTAACAGTCTTTATGTAGAATCTGCAAGTCGATATTTGGACCTCTTTGAGCCCTTCGTTGGAAACGGGAATATCTTCATATAAAAACTAGACAGAAGAATTCTCAGAAACTGCTTTGTGATGTGTGCATTCAACACACAGAGATGAACTTTCCTTTTGATGGAGCGGTTTTGAAACACTCTTTTTGTAGAATTTACAAGTGGATATTTGGAGCACTTTGAGGACAATGGTAGAAAAGGAAACATCTTCATATAAAAATTAGACAGAATCATTCTCAGAAATTACTTTGTGATGTGTGTATTCAACTCACAGAGTTTAACCTTTCTTTTGATAGAGCAGTTTTAAAACCCTGTTTTTGTAGAATTTGCAAGTATCTATTTAGGGCACTTTGAGGCCTATGGTAGAATAGGAAATATCTTCACTTGGAAAGTAGATAGACACATTCTCAAAAACTACTTTGTGATGTTTCCATTCAACTCACAGAGTTGAAGTTTCCTCTTAATAGAGCAGTTTTGAAACACTATGTTTGTAAAGTCTGCAAGTGGATATTTAAATCGCTTTGAGGCCTTCTTTTGAGAAGATTGTTTCTTCATAAGAAAAGTAGATAGAAGTATTCTCAGAGACTTCTTTGTGAGGGCTGCACTCAACTCACAGAGTTGAACCTTCCTTTTGATAGAGAAGTTTTGAAACCCTCTCTTTGTAGAATTTCCAATTGGTTATTTAGAGTTTTTTGAGGCCTATGATAGAAAAGGAAATATCTTCATATAAAAACTAGACAGAATCATTCTCAGAAAATACTTTGTGATGTGTGCATTCAACTCAGAGAATTTAACCATTCTTTTGATAGAGCAGTTTTGAAACACTCATTTTGTAGAATTTGCAAGCGTATATTTAGAGCACTTTGAGGCCTATGGTAGAAAAGGAAATGTCTTCACATAAAAACTAGACAGAAGCATTCTCAGAGACTACTTTGTGATGTTTGCATTCAACTCACGGAGTTGAACATTCCTTTTGATAGAGCAGTTTTGAAACACTCTTTTTGTAGAATCTGCAAGTGTATATTTGGACCTCTTTGAGACCTTCGTTGGAAACAGGAATTTCTTCGCATAAAAACCAGACAGAAGCATTCTAAGAAACTTTTTGTGTTTTGTGCATTCAACTCACAGAGTTTATCCTTTCTTTTGATAAACAGTTTTGAAACACACTTTTTCTTGAATTTGCAAGTGTATATTTAGAGCGCTTTCAGGTCTATGGTAGAAAAGGAAATATCTTCACATAAAATCTATAAAGAAGCATCCTCAGAAACTAATTTGGATGTATTCATTCAACTCAGAGAGTTGAACTTTCCTCTTTGTAGAGTTGTTTGAAACACTCTTTTTGTAGAATATGCAAGTGGATATTTGGACCACTTTGTTGACTTCGTTGGAAACGGTATTTCTTCATAATACTAGACAGAAGAATTCTCAGAAACTTTTTTTTGATGTGTGCATTCAACTCACAGATTTGAACCTTCCTTTCGACAGAGCAGTTTTGAAACTCTCTTTTTGTAGAATTTCCAAGTGGATATATAGAGCGTTTTGAGGCCTATGGTAGAAAAGGAAATATCTTCATATAAAAACAAGACAGAATCATTCTCAGAAACTACTTTGTGATGTGTGTGTTCAACTCAAACAGTTTAACCTTTCTTCTGATAGAGCAGTTTTCAAACATTCTGTAAAGTCTGCAAGTGGATATTTGAAGCGATTTGAGACCTTCTTTGGAAACTGGAGTATCTTCACATAAAACTAGAGAGAAGTATTCTCAACAACTTCTTTGTGATGTCTGCACTCAACTCACAGAGTTGAACCTTCCTTTTGATAGAGCAGTTTTGAAATACTCTTTTTGTAGAATTTGCCAGTGTGGATTTAGAGGGCTTTGAGGCCTATGGTAGAAAAGGAAATATCTTCACATAAAAACTAGACAGAATCATTCTCAGAAACTACTTTATGATGTTTGCATTCAACTCACTGATTTCATCATTCCTTTTGATAAAGCAGTTTTGAAACACTCTTTTTGCAGACTCTGCAAGTGGATATTTGGACCTATTTGAAGCCTTCCTTGTAAACGGGAATTTCTTCACATAAAAACTAGACAGAAGAATTCTCAGAAATTTTTGTGATGTGTGCATTCAACTCTCAGTTTTCAACCTTCCTTTTCATAAAGCAGTTTTGAAACATTCTTTTTGTAGAATTTGCAAGTGGATATTTAGAGCGCTTTGAAGCCTATGGTAGAAAAGGAAATATCTTCATATAAAAACTAGACAGAATCATCCTCAGAAACTACTTTTTAATGTGTGCGTTGAACTCACAGAGTGTAACCTTTCTTTTGACAGATCACTTTTGGAACACTGTGTAAAGTCTGCAAGTGGATAGTAGGAGAGCTTTGAGGCCTTCTTTGGAAACGGGAATATCTTCACATAAAAAGTAGACAGAAGTATTCTCAGAAACTTCTTTTTGATGTCTGCACTCAACTCACAGAGTTGAGTGTCCCTTTTGATACAGCAGTTTTGAAACACTCTTTTTGTAGAATTTGCAAGAAGATATTTAGAGCGCTTTGAGGCCTATGGTAGAAAAGGAAATATCTTCATATAAAAACTAGATGGAATCATTCTCAGAAACTACTTTCTGATGTGTGCGTTCAACTCATAGAGTTTGACCTTTGTTTTGATAGAGCAGTTTTGAAACAATCTGTTTGTAAATTCTGCAAGTGGATATTTGGAGCGCTTTGAGGCCCTCTTTGGAAACGGGAGTATCTTCCAAAAGAAATTAGACAGAAGTATTCTCAGAAACTTCTTTGTGATGTCTGCACTCAACTCACAGAGTTGAAAATTCCTTTTGATAGAGCAGTTTCGAAACATTCTTTTTGTAGAATTTGCAAGTGGATATTTAGAGCGCTTTGGGGACTATGTTAGAAAAGGAAATATCTGCATGGAAAAACTACACAGAATCATTCTCAGAAACTACTTTGTGATGTGTGCATTTACCTCACAGAGTTTAACCTTTCTTTTGATAGAACAGTTTTGAAATACTCTTTTTGTAGAATCTTCAAGTGTATATTTAGAGTGCTTTGAGGCCTATGGTAGAAAAGGAAATATCTTCACATAAAAACTGGACAGAAGCATTCTCAGAAACTATTTTGTGATGTTTGCATTCAACTCACAGAGTTGAACATTCCTCTTCATAGACCAGTTTTGAAACACTATTTTTGTAGAATCAGTAAGCGGATATTTGGACCTCTTGGAGGCCTTCGTTACAAACAGGAATTCTTCATATAAAACTAGACAGAAGAATTCTCAGAAACTTCTTTCCGATGTGTGCATTCAACTCAGAGAGTTGAACCTTCTTTTCGACAGAGTAGTTTTGAAACACTCTTTTTGTAGAATTTCTAAGCGAATATTTAGGGCCCTTTGAAGCCCTTGGTGGAAAAGGAAGTTTCTTCATGTAAAACTAGACCGAATCATTCTCAGAAACTACATTGGGATGTGTGCGTTCAAATCACAGAGTTTAACCTTTCTTTTGATAGAGCAGTTTTGAAACACTCTGTAAAGTCTGCAAGTGGATATTTGGAGCAATTTGAGGCCTTCTTTGGAAATGGGAGTATCTTCACATACAATGTAGACAGAAGTATTCTCAGAAACACCTTTGTCCTGTCTGCACTCAACTCACAGAGTTTAACCTTTCTTTTGATAGAGCAGTTTTGAAAATCTCTTTTTGAAGAATTTGCAAGTGTGTATTTAGTAGACTTGAGGCCTTCCTTTTGGTAGAGCAGTTTGAAACACTCTTTTTGTTGAATGTGCAATGGATATTTAGAGCGCTTTGTGGCCTGAGTTAGAAGAGGAGATATCTTCATATAAAAAATAGAGGGAAGCATTCTGAGAAACTACTTTGTGATGTTTGCATTCAACTCACAGAGTTCAACATTCCTTTTGATAGAGCAGTTTTGAAACACACTTTTTGTAAAATCTGTAGGTGGGTATTTGGACCTCTTTGAGGCCTTCATAGTAAACGAGAATTTCGTTAATAAAAACCAGACAGAAGAATTCTCCGAAACTTTCTGTGATGTGTGCATTCAAGTCACAGAGTTGAACCTTCCTTTTGATAGAGCAGTTTTGAAACACTCTTTTTGTAGAATCTGCAAGTGGATATTTAGAGCGCTTTGAAGCCTGAGTTAGAAAAGGAAATATCTTCATATAAAAACTAGACAGAATCTTTCTCAGAAGCTACTTTGTGATGTGTGCATTCAACTCACTGAGTTTATCCTTTCTTTTGATAGAGCAGTTTTGAAACAATCTGTTTGTAGAAATTGCAAGTGTATATTTAGAGCTCTTTGAGGTCTAAGGTAGAAAAGGAAATATCTTCACATAAAAACTAGACAGAAGCACTCTCAGAAACTACTTTATGATGTTTGCATTCAACAGAGAGTTGAACATTCCCGTTGATAGAACAGTTTTGAAACACTCTTTTTATAGAATCTTCAAGTGGCTATTTGGACCTCTTTGAGGCCTTTGTGGGAAAAGGGATTTCTTCATATAAAACTAGACAGAGGAATTCTCAGAAACTTCTTTGTGATATGTGCATTCAACTCACAGAGTTAAACCTTTGTTTTGATAGAGCAGTTTGTAACACTCTTTTTGTAGGATTTCCAAGTGAATATTAAGAGCGCTTGGAGGCCTATGGTAGAAAAGGAGATATCTTCATACAAAAACTAGACAGAATAATTCTCAGAAACTAATTTTTGATGTGTGCATTCAACTCACCTCGTTTAACCTTTCCTTTGATAGAGCTGTTTTGAAACACTGTTTTTGTAGTATTTGCAATGTATATTCAGAGCGCTTTGAGGCCTATGGTAGAAACGGAAATATCTTCACATAAAAACTAGACAGAAGTATTCTCAGAAACTACTTTTTGATGTTTGCATTCAACTCACAGCGTTGATCATTCCCCTTGATAGAGCAGTTTAGAAACACTCTTTTTGTAGAATCTGCAAATGGATATTTGGACCTCGTAGAGGCCTTCTTAGGAAATGGGATTTCTTCATATAAAACTAGACAGAGGAATTATCAGAAACTTATTTGTGAAGTGAGCATTCAACTCACAAAGTTGAACCTTCCTTTCGATTGGACATTTATGAAACACTATCTTTGTAGAATTTTCCAGTGATTATTTAGAGCGCTTTGAGGCCTATGGTAGAAAAGGAAATATCTTCAAAAAAAAACTAGACAGAATCATTCTCAGAAAATATTTTGTGATGTGTGCATTCAATTCAAAGAGTTTAACATTTCTTTTGAAAGAGCAGTTTTGAAACACCTTTTTTGTAGAATTTGCAAGGGTGTATTTAGAGGGCTTTGAGGCCTATGGTAGAAAAGGAAATATCTTCACATAAAAACTAGAAAGAAGCATTCTCAGAAACTACTCTGTGATGTTTGCATTCAACTCACACAGTTCAACATTTCTTTTGATAGATCAGTTTTGAAACATTCTTTTTTTAGAATCTGCAAATGGATATTTGGATCTCTTTGATGCCTTCGTTTGAAACAGGAACTTCCTCACGTAAAAACTAGACAGAAGAATTCTCAGAAACTTTTTGTGACGTGTGCATTCCACTCACAGAGTTGAACCTTCCTTTTGATAGAGCAGTTTTGAAACACTCTTTTTGTAGATTTTGCAAGTGGATATTTAGAGCGCTTTGAGGCCAATAGTAGAAAACGAAATATCTTCATATAAAAACTAGACAGAATCATTCTCAGAAACGACTTTGTGATGTGTGCGTTCCACTCACAGAGTTTAACCTTTCTTTTGATAGTCCAGTTTGGAAACATTCTGTTTGTAAAGTCTGCAAGTGGATATTTGGAGCACTTTGAGGAATTCTTTGGAAACGGGAATATCTTCACATAAAAAGTAGATAGAAGTATTCTTAGAAACTTCTTTGTGATGTCTGCACTCAACTCACCGAGTTGAACCTTCCTTTTGGTAGAGCAGCTTTGAAACACTCTTTTTGTAGAATTTGCAAGTGGATATTTAGAGCGATTTGGGGCCTGTGGTAGAAAAGGAAATATCTTCACAGAAAAACTACACAGAAGCATTCTCAGAAACCACTTTGTGATGTTTGCATTCAACTTACAGAGGTGAACATTCCTTTTGATAGAGGAGTTTTGTAACAGTCTTTTTGTAGAATCTGCAAGGGGATATTCGGACCTCTTTGATGCCTTTATTGGAAACGGGAATATCTTCATATAAAAAGTAGACAGAAGAATTCTCAGAAACTTCTTGGTGATGTGTGCATTCAACTCACAGAGTTGAACCTTCCTTTCCATAGAGGAGTTTTGAAACCCTCTTTTTGTGGAATTTCCAATTGAATATTTAGAGCGCTTGGAGGCCTGTGTTAGAAAAGGAAATATCTTCATATAAAAACTAGAGAGAATAATTCTCAGAAACTACTTTGTGATGTGTGCGTTCAATTCACAGAGTTTAACATTTCTTTTGATAGAGCAGTTTGAACAACTCTCTTTGTAGAATTTGCAAGTGTGTATTTAGAGGGCTTTGAGGCGTATGTAGAAAAGGAAATATCTTCACATAAAAACTAGACAGAAGCATTCTCAGAAACTACTTTGCGATGTTGGCATTCAACTCACAGAGTTCAACATTCCTTTTGATAGAGCAGTCTTGAATCACTCTTTTTGTAGAAACTGCAAGTGGATATTTGGACCTCTTTGATGACTTCGTTGGACACGGGAATTTCTTCTCGTAAAAACTAGACAGAAGAATTCTCAGAAACATTTTGTGATGTGTGCATTCAACTCACAGAGTTGAACCTTCCTTTTGATAGAGCAGTTTTTAATCACTCCTTTTGTAGAATTTGCAATTGCATATTTAGAGGGCTTTGAGGCCTATGGTAGAAAAGGAAATACCTTCACAAAAAAAACTAGACAGTAGCCTTCTCAAAAGCTATTTTTGATGTTTGCATTCAAATCACAGAGTTGAAGATTCCTCTTGATAGAGCAGTTTTGAAACACTCTTTTTGTAGAATCTGCAAGTGGGTATTTGGACCACTTTGAGGCCTTCGTTGGAAACTGGATTTCTTCATATAAAACTAGACAGAAGAATTCTCAGAAACTTCTTTGTGATGTGTGCATTCAACTCACAGAGTTGAACTTTCCTTTCGATAGAGCAGTTTTGAAGAACTCTGTAAAGTCTGCAAGTGGATATTTGGACCTCATTGAGGCCTTCGTTGGAAATGGGATTTATTCATGCAAAAACTAGTCAGAAGAATTCTCAGAAACTTCTTTGGAATGTGTGCATTCAACTCACAGAATTGAACCTTCCTTTCAATAGAGCAGTTTTGAAACACTCTTTGGTAGAATTTCCAAGTGAATAGTTAGAGTGCTTGGAGGCCTATGGTAGAAAAGGAAATATCTTCATAGAAAAATTAGACAGAATCATTCTCAGAAACTACTTTGTGATGTGTCCATTCAACTCACAGAGTTTAACCTTTCTTTTGATAGAGCTGTTTTGAAACTCTTTTCGTGTAGAATTTGCAAGTGTGTATTTAGAGGGCTTTGAGGCCCATGGTAGAAAAGGAAATATCTTCACATAAAAACTAGACAGAAGCATTCTCAGAAATTACTTTGTGATGTTTGCATTCAACTCACAGAGTTCAAAATTCTTTTTGATAGAGCAGTTTGAAATACTCTTTTGGTAGAATCTGCAATTGGATATTTGGACCTCTTTGAGGCTTTCGTTGGAAATGGGAATTCCTTCACATAAAAACTAGAAAGAAGAATTCCATGAAAATATTTTGATGTGTGCATTCAACTCACAGAGTTGAACCTTCATTTTGATAGTGCAGTTTGGAAACACTCTTTTTGCCGAATTTTATAGTGGATATTTAGAACGCTTTGTGGCCTACGGTAGAAAAATTTATATCTTCATATAAAAACTAGACAGAATCATTCTCAAAAACTACTTTGTGATGTGTGAGTTCAACTCAGAGAGTTTAGCCTTTCTTTTGATATAGCAGTTTTGAATCACTCTGCAAAGTCTGCAAGTGGATATTTGGAGCGCTTTGAGGCCTTCCTTGGTAAAGGGAGTATCTTCCTCTAAAAAGTAAAAAGAAGTTTTCTCAGAAACTTCTTTGTGATGTCTGCACTCAACTCAAGGGGTTGAACCTTCCTTTTTATAGAGCAGTTTTGAAGCACTATTTTGGTAGAATTTGCAAGTGGATATTTAGAGAGCTTTAAGTCCTAAGGTAGAAAAGGAAATATCTTCATGGAAAAACTACATGGAAGCATTCTCAGAAACTACTTTGTGGTGTTTGCATTCCACTCACAGTTTTGAACATTCCTCTTGATAGAGCAGTTTTGTAATACTTTTTATGTAGAATCTGCAAGTGGATATTTGGACCACTTTGAGGCCTTCGTTGGAAACGGGAATTTCTTCATATAAATACTAGACAGAAAAATTCTCAAAAACTTCTTTGTAATGTTTGCATTCAACTCACAGAGTTGAACTTTCCTTTCCATAGAGAAGATTTGAAATACTCTTTTTGTAGAATTTCCAAGTGAATATTTAGAACGCTTGGAGGACTAAGGTAGAAAAGGATATATCTTCATATAAAAACTAGACAGAAGCATTCTCAGAAACTACTTTGCGATGTTTACGTTCAACTCACAGAGTTGAACCTGCCTTTTGGTAGAGCAGTTTTGAAACACTCTTTTTGTAGAATTTGCATGTGTGTATTTAGAGGGCTTTGAGGCCTATGGTAGAAAATGAAATAACTTCACATAAAAACTAGAAGGAAGCATTCTCAGAAACTTCTTTCTGATGTTTGCATTGAACTCACAGTGTTCAACATTCCTTTTGATAGAGCAGTCTTGAAACACTCTTTTTCCAGAATTTGCAAGAGGATATTTGGACCTCTTTGAGGCCTTCATTGGAAACGGGAATTTCTTCACATAAAAACCAGACTGAAGAATTCTTAGAAATTTTTGTGATGTGTGCATTCAACTCACCGAGCTTAACCTTTCTTTTGATAGAGCAGTTTTGAAACACTCTTTTTGTAGAATTAGCAAGTGTGTATTTAGAGGGCTTTGAGGCCTATGGTAGAAAAGTAAATATCTTCACATAAAAACTGCACAGAAACATTCTCAGAAACTACATTGTGAAGATTCCTTTCAACTCACAGAGTTCAACATTCCTTTTGATAGAGCAGTTTTGAAACACTCTTTTTTTAGAATCTGCAAGCAGATATTTGGACCTCTTTGAGGCCTTTGCTGGAAACGGGAATTCCTTCACATAAAAACTAGACAGAAGAATTCTCAGAAACGTTTTGTGATGTGTGCATTCAACTCACAGAGTTGAACCTTCCCTTTGATACAGCAGTTTTGAAACACTCTTTTTGTAGAATTTCCAAGTGGATATTTAGAGCGCTTTGAAGCCCATTGTAGAAAAGAAAATATCTTCATATAAAAACTAAACAGAATCAGTCTCAGAAACTACTTTTTGATGTGTGCGTTCAACTCACAGAGTTTAACCTTTCTTTTGAGACAGCAGTTTTGAAACACTCTGTAAAGTCTGCAAGTGGATATTTGGAGCGCTTTGAGGCCTTCGTTTGAAACGGAATTTCTTCATATAATACTAGACAGAAGCATTCTCAGAAACTACTTTGTAATGTTTGCATTCCACTCACAGAGTTGAACATTACGTTTGATAGAGCAGGTTTGTAACACTCTTTTTGTAGAATCTGCAAGTGGATATTTCGACCTCTTTGAGGCCTTCGTTGGAAACGGGAATTTCTTCATAAAAAAACAAGACAGAAGAATTCTCAGAAACTTCTTTGTTATGTGTGCATTCAACTCAGAGTTGAACCTTCCTTTCGATAGAGCAGCTTTGAAACACTCTTTTTGTACTATTTCCAAGTGGATATTTAGAGAGCTTTGAGACAGATGGCAGAAAAGGAAATATCTTCATATAGAAACTAGACAGAAGAATTCTCAGAAACTATTTTTTGATGTGTGAATTCAATTCACAGAGTTTAAACTTTCTTTTGATAGAGCAGTTTTGAAACGCTCTTTTGGTAGAATTTGCAAGTGTATATTTACAGCGCTTTGAGGCCTATTGTATAAAAGGAAATTTCTTAACATAAAAACTAGACAGAAGCATTCTCAGAAACTACATTGTGATGTTTGCATTCAACTCACAGAATTGAACATTCCTTATGATAGAACAGTTTTGTAACACTCTTTTTGTAGAATCTGCAAGTGGATATTTGGATATCTTTGATTCCTTCATTGGAAAGGGGAATTTGTATAATTTTCAAGTGGATATTTAGAGCGCTTTGAGGCCTATGGTAGAAAAGGAAATATCTTCATATTAAAACTAGACAGAATTATTCTATGAAACTACTTTGTGATGTGTGGGTTCAACTCACAGAGTTTAACCTTTCCTTTGATAGAGCAGTTTTGAAACACTCTTTTTGTAGTTCTTGCAAGTGGATATTTAGGGTGCTTTGAGGCCTATGGTAGAAAAGGAAATATCTTCACATAAAAACTAGACAGAAGCATTCTCAGAAACTACTTTGTGATGTTTGCATTCATCTCACAGACTTGAACATTCCTCTTTATAGAGCTGTTTTGAAACAGTCTTTTCGAAAATTTGCCAGTGGATATTCGGACCACCTTGAGGACTTCTTTGGAAACGAGTTTTCTTCATATAAAACTAGAGAGAAGAATTCTCAGAAACTTCTTTGTGATGTGTGCATTCAAATCACAGAGTTGAACCTTCCTTTCGACAGAGCAGTTTTGAAACACTCCTTTTGTATAATTTCCAAGTAAATATTTTGAGGGCTATGAGGCCTATTGTAGAAAAGGAAATATCTTCCTATAAAAACAAGACAGACTCATTCTCAGAAATTAATTTGTGCTGTGTGTGTTCAACTCACAGAGTTTAACCTTTCTTTTCATAGAGCAATTTTGAAATACTCTGTAAAGTCTGCAAGTGGATATCTGGAGCGTTTTGTGGTCTTCTTTGGAAATGGTAGTATCTTCACATAAAATGTTGACAGAAGTATTCTCAGAAACTTCTTTGTGATATCTGCACTGGATTCACAGAGTTGAATTTTTTTTGATAGGGCAATTTTGACACACTCTTTTTGTAGAATTTGCAAGTGGATATTTAGAGTGCTTTGCGGGCTTTGGTAGAAAAGGAAATATCTTCATAGAAAAACTACACAGAAGCATTCTCAGAAACTACTTTGTGATGTTTGCATTCAACTCACAGAGTTGAGCATTCCTCTGGATAGAGCAGTTTTGGAAAACTCTTTTTGTAGAATCTTCAAGTGGATAATTGGACCTCTCTGTGGCCTTCGTTGGAAACGGGATTTCTTCCTATAAAGCTACACGGAAGAATTCTCAGAAACTTCTTTGTGATGTGTGCATTAAACTCACAGAGTTGAACCTTCCTTTTGATAGAGTAGTTTTGAAACACTCTTTTTGTAGAATTTCCTATTGAATATTTAGAGCGCTTTCAAGCCAATAGTAGAAAAGGAAATACCTTCATATAAAAACTAGACAAAATCATTCTCAGAAACTACTTTGTGATGTGTACGTTCAACTCAGAGAGTTTATCCTTTCTTTTGATACAGTAGTTTTGAAACACTCTGTAAAGTCTGCAAGTGGATATCTGGAGCACTTTGAGGCCTTCTTTGGAAAAAGGAGTATCTTCACATAAAAAGTAGACAGAAGTGTTCTCGGAAACTTCTCTGTGATGTGTCCATTTAACTCACAGAGTTGAACGTTCCTTTTGATAGAGCAGTTTTGAAACACTCTGTTTGTAAAGTCTGCAAGTGGATATTTGGAGCGATTTGAGGCCTTCTTTGGAAACGGGAATATCTTCACATAAAAAGTAGACAGAAGTATTCTCAGAACCTACATTGTGATGTCTGCACGAAACTCACAGAGTTGAACCTTTCTCTTGATAGAACAGTTTTGAAACACTCTCTTTGTAGAATCTGCAGGTGGATATTTAGAGCGCTTTGTGGCCTATTTTAGAAAAGTAAATATCTTCATATAAAAAGTAGACAGAATCATTCTCAGAAATTACTTTGTGATGTGTGCATTCAACTCACAGAGTTTAATCTTCTTTTGATAGAGCAGTTTTGAAACACTCTGTTTGTAAAGTCTGCAAGTGGATATATGGAGCGCTTCGAGGCCTTCTTTGGAAACGGGAGTATCTTCACATAAAAAGTAGACAGAAGTATTCTCAGGAACTTCTTTGTGATGTCTGCACTCAACTCACAGAGTTGTAACTTCCTTTTTATAGACCAGTTTTGAAACACTCTTTTTGTAGAATTTGCAAGTGGATATTTAGAGCTCTTTGGGGCCTATGGTAGAAAAGGAAATATCTTCATAAGAAAACTACACAGAAGCATTCTGTGAAACTAGTTTGTGAGGTTTGCATTCAACTCATAGGGTTAAACATTCTTTTTGATAGAGCAGTTTTGTTACACTCTTTTTGTAGAATCTGCAAGTCTATATTTGGACCTCTTTGATGTCTTTGTTGGAAACGGGAATTTCTTGAAATAAAAACCAGAAAGAAGAATTCGCAGAAACTTTTTTTGACGAGTGCATTCAACTCACAGAGTTGAACCTTCCTTTCGATAGGGCAGTTTGAAAACACTCTTTTTGTAAAATTTCCAAGTGAATATTTAGAGCGCTTGGAGGCCTATGGTAGAAAAGGAAATATCTTCATAGAAAAACTAGACAGAATCATTCTCAGAAACTACTTTGTGATGTCTGCGTTCAACTCACAGAGTTTAACCTTTCTTTTCATAGAGCAGTTTTGAAACACTCTGTTTGTAATATCTGCAAGTGGATATTTGGCGCACTTTAACGCCTATGGTAGAAAAGGAAATATCTTAACATAAAAACTTGACAGAAGCATTCTCAGAGACTACTTTGTGATGTTTGCATTCACTTCACAGAGTTAAACATTCCTTTTGATACAGCAGTTTTGAAACACTCTTTTTAAAAAATCTGCAAGTGCATATTAGGACCTCTTTGAGATCTTCGTTAGAAACGGGAATTTCTTCACATAAAAACTAGACAAAATAATTCTCAGAAACTTTTTGTGATGTGTGCATTTAACTCTCAGAGTTGAACATTCCTTTAGATAGAGCAGTTTTGAAACACTCTTTTTGTAGAATTTCCAAGTGGATATTTAGAGCGCTTTGAAGCCTGTGGTAGAAAAGGAAATATCTTCACATAAAAACTAGACAGAATCATTCTCAGAAACTACTTTGTGATGTGTGCGTTCAACTCACAGAGTTAAACCTTTCTTTTGATAGAGCACTTCTGAAAAACTCTGTTTGTAAAGTCTGCAAGTTGATAATTGGAGCGCTTTGAGGCCTTCTTTGGAAATGGGAATATCTTCCCTCTAAAAGCACATAGAAGTATTCTCAGAAACTTCTTTGTGATGTCTGCACTCCACTGAAACAGTTGAACCTTCCTTTTGATAGAGAAGTTTTGAAACACTCTTTTTGTAGAATGTGCAAGTGGATATTTAGAGAACTTAGTGGACTATGGTAGAAAAGGAAATATCTTTATATAAAAACAAGACAGAATCATTTTCAGTAACTTTTATGTGATGTGTGTGTTCAACTCACCGAGTTTAACCTTTCTTTTGATAGAGCAGTTTTGAAACACTCTTTTTGTAGAATTTGCAATTGTATATTTACAGCGTTTTGAGGCCTGTGGTAGAAAAGTAAATATCTTCACATAAAAACTAGATAGAAGCATTCTCAGAAACTACTTTGTGATATTTTGATTCAAATCACAGAGTTCAACATTCCTTATGATAGAGCAGTTTTGAAACACTCTTTTTGTAAAATCTGCAAGTGGATATTTGGACCTCTTAGGGCCCTTCGTTGAAAACGGGAATTTCCTTACAAAAAAATTTGAACGAAGAATTCTCAGAAACATTTTCTGATGTGTGCATTGAACTCGCAGAGTTAAATCTTCCTTTTGATAGAGCAGTTTTGAAACACTCTTTTACAGAATTTCCAAGTGGATATTTAGAGTGCTTTGAACCCTATGATAGAAAAGGAAATATCTTCACAGAAAAACTAGACAGAAGCATTCTCAGAAATTACTTTGTGAAATCTGGACTCAACTCACAGAGTTTAACCTTTCATTTGATAGAGCAGTTTTGAAACATTCTGTTTGTAAAGGCTGCAAGTGGATATTTGGAGTGCTTAGAGGCCTTCTTTGGAAACGGGTGTATCTTCACATAAAAAGCAGACAGAAGTATTCTCAGAAACTTCTTTGTGATGTCTGCACTCAACTCACAGAGTTGAAACTGCCTTTTGATAGAGCAGTTTTGAAACACTCTTTTTGTAGTATTTGCAAGTGGATATTTAGAGCGCTTTGAGGCCTATGGTAGAAAAGGAAATAACTTAATATAAAAACTAGACAGAATCATTCTCAGAAACTACTATGGGATGTGTGATTTCAACTCACAGAGTTTAACCTTTCTTTTGATAGAGCAGTTTTGAAACACTCTTTTTGTAGAATTTGCAAGTGTATATTAAGATTGCTTTGAGGTCTATTATAGAAAAGGACATATCTTCACATTAAAAACTAGATGGAAGCATTCTCAGAAACTACTTTGTGATGTTTGCATTCAACTCACAGAGTTGAACATTCCTCTTGATATAGCAGTTCTGAAACACTCTTTTTGTAGAATCTGCAAGTGGATATTTGGACTTCTTTGAGGCCTTCGTTGGAAATGGGATTTCTTCATATAAAACTAGACGGAAGAATTCTCAGAAACTTCTTTGTGATGTGTTCATTCAACCCACAGAGTTGAACCTTCCTTTTGATAGGGCAGTTTTGAAACACTCTTTTGGTAGAATTTGCAAGTGCATATTTGGAGCGCTTTGAGGCGTTCTTTGGAAACGGGAGTATCTTCACATAAAAAGTAGACAGAAGTATTCTCAGAAACAACTTTGTGATGTCTGCACTCAACTCACCGAGTTGAAGCTTCCTATTGATAGAGCAGTTTTGAAACACTCTTTTTGTAGAATTTGCAAGTGGATATTTAGAGCTCTTTGGGGTCTACGGTAGAAAAGGAAATATCTTCATAGAAGAACTACACAGAAGCATTCTCAGAAACTACTTTGTGATGTGTGCATTCAACTCACAGAATTTAACTTTTCTTTTGATACAGCAGTTTTGAAACACTCTTTTTGTAGAATTTGCAGGTGTATATTTAGAGGGCTTTGAGGCCTCTGGTAGAAAAGGAAATATCTTCAAATAAAAACTAGACAGAAGCATTCTCAGAAACTTCTTTGTGATTTGTGTATTCAACTCACAGTTTTGATCCTTCCTTTTGATAGAGCAGTTTTGAAACACTCTTTTTGTAGAAACTGCAAGTGGAAATTTGGAGTGCTTTGAGGCCAACGGTGGAAACGGGAATATCTTCACATAAAAAGTAGAAAGAAGCATTCTCAGAAACTACTTTGTGATGTGTGTATTCACCTCACAGAGTTGAACCTTCCTTTTGATAGAGCAGCTTTGACACAGTCTTTTTGTAGAATCTGCCAGTGGACAGTTGGAGCGCGTTGAGGCCTTTGGTGGAAATGGGAATATCTTCACATAAAAACTAGACAGAAGCATTTTCAGAAACTTCTTTGTAATGTGTGCATTCAACTCACAGAGATGAACTTTCCTTTTGATAGAGCAGTTTTGAAAACCTTTTTTTATAGAATCTGCAAGTGGATATTTGGAGCTCTTTGAGGCCTTCGGTGGAAACGGGAATATCTTCACCTAAAAAGTAGACAGAGGGATTCTCATCAACTTCTTTGTTATGTGTGCATTCAACTCACAGAATTGAACCTTTCTTTTGATAGAGCAGTTTTGAAACACTCTTTTTCTAGAATCAGCAAGTGAATATTTGGAGCGCTTTGAGGCGTATGGTGGAAAAGGATATATCTTCACATAAAAACTACACAGAAGCATTCTCTGTAACCTCTTTGTGTAGTGTGCATTCAACTCAAAGGGTTGAACCTTTCTTTTGATGGAGCAGTTTTGAAACGCTCTTTTTGCAGAATCTGCAATTGGATATTTGGAGCTCTTTGAGGCCTGTCGTTGAAAAGGAAATATCTTCACATGAAACTAGACAGAAGCATTCTCCGAAACTTCTTTGTGATGTGTGCATTCAACACACCGAGCTGAACCTTTCTTTTTATAGAGCAGTTTTGAAACACTCTTTTTGTAGAGTCTGAAAGTGGATATTTGGAGCGCTTTGAGGCCTATAGTTGAAAAGGAAATATCTTCACATAAAAACTAGACAGGAGCATTCTCTGAAACTTCTTTCTGATGTGTGCAACTCACAGAGTTGAAACTTTCTTTTGAGAGAGCAGTTTAGTAACACTCTTTTTGTAGAATCTGCAAGTGGATATTTTGTTTCCTTTGAGGCCTTCGTTGGAAAACAAAATATCTTCACTTAAAAACTAGACAGAAGCATTCTCAGAAACTACTTTGTGATGTGTGCATTCAACTCACAGGGTTGAAGCTTTCTTTTGATAGAGCAGTTTTGAAACACTCTTTTTGTAGAATCTGCAAGTGGATATGTTGTTCCCTTAGAGGCCTATCTTGGAGAACACAATATCTTCACAGAAAAACAAGGCAGAAGCATTCTCAGAAACTACTTTGTTGTATGTACATTCAACTCATAGAGTTGACCCTTTCTTTTGCTAGAGCAATTCTGGAACACTCTTTTTACAGAATCTGCAAGTGGATATTTGGTTCCCTTTGAGGCCTATTTTGGGAAATGAAATATCTTCACATAAATACTAGACAGAAGCAGTCACCGAAACTTGTTTGTGATGTGTGCATTCAATTCACGGAGTTGAACCTTTCTTTGGATAGGGCAGTTGAGAAACCCTTTTTTTGTAGAATCTGCAAGTGGACATTTGGAGCACTTTGAGGCCTGTGGTGGAAAAGGAAATATCTTCACATAGAAACTAGATTGAAGCATTCTCAGAAACTTCTTTGTGATGTGTGCATTCAACTTACAGAGTTGAACACTCCTTTTGACAGAGCAGTTATGAAACACTCTTTTTTGTAGAATCTGCAAGTCGATATTTGGAGCGCTTTGAGGCCTATGGCGGAAATGGGAATATCTTCACATTAAAACTAGACAGAAGCTTTCTCCAAAACTTCTTTGTGATGTGCACATTCAGCTCACAGGGTTGAAGCTTTCTTTTAATAGAGCAGTTTTGAAACACTCTTTTTGTAGAATCTGTAAGTGGATATTATGAGTGCTTTGAAGCCTATGGTGGAAAAGGGAATATCTTCACATAAAAACCAGACAGAAGCATTCTCTGAAACTTCTTTTTGATGTGTGCAATCAACTCACAGAGTTGAACCTTTCTTTTGATAGAGCAGTTTTGAAACACTCTTTTTGTAGAATCTGCAAGTGGATATGTTGTTCCCTTAGAGGCCTGTGATGGAGAACGCAATATCTTCACAGAAAAACAAGACAGAAGCATTCTCAGAAACTTCTTCGTTGTATGTACATTCAACTCACAGAGTTGACCCTTTCTTTTGCTAGAGCAATTTTGAAACACTCTTTTTACAGAATCTGCAAGTGGATATTTTGTTCCCTTTGAGACCTATTTTGGGAAATGAAATATCTTCACATAAATACTAGACAAAGCATTCACCGAAACTTCTTTGTGATGTGTGTATTCAACTCATAGAGTTGAACCTTTCTTTGGATAGGGCAGTTGAGAAACCCTTTTTTTGTAGAATCTGCAAGTGGACATTTGGAGCACTTTGAGGCCTGTGGTGGAAAAGGAAATATCTTCACATAGAAACTAGATTGAAGCATTCTCAGAAACTTCTTTGTGATGTGTGCATTCAACTTACAGAGTTGAACACTCCTTTTGACAGAGCAGTTATGAAACACTCTTTTTGTAGTATCTGCAAGTCGATATTTGGAGCGCTTTGAGGCCTATGGCAGAAATGGGAATATCTTCACATTAAAACTAGACAGAAGCTTTCTCCAAAACTTCTTTGTGATGTGTGCATTCAACTCAGAGTTGAACCTTTCTTTTGATAGAGAAGTTTTGAAACATTCTTTTTGTAGATTCTGCAAGTGGATATTTGGAGCGCATTGAGGCCTATGGTGGAAAAGGAAATATCTTCACATAAAAACTAGACAGAAGCATTTTCCGAAACTTCTTTGTGATGTGTGCATTGAACACACAGAGTTGAAACTTTCTTTGGACAGAGAAGTTTTGAAACCCTCTTTTTGTAGAATCTGCAAGTGGATGTTTTGTTCCCTTTGAGGCCTATGTTGGGAAATGAAATATCTTCACATAAAAACTAGACAGAAGCACTCTCAGAAACTTCTTTGAGATGTTTGCATTCAACTCACAGAGTTGATACTTTCTTTTGAGAGAGCCATTTTGAAACACTGTTTTTGTAGAATCTGCAAGTGGATATTTGGAGCGCTTTGAGGCCTATGGTGGAAAAGCAAATATCTTCACAGAAAAACTAGACAGAAGGATTCTCTGAAACTTCTTTGTGATGTGTGCATTAAACTCACAGAGCTGAACCTTTCTTTTGATAGAGCATTTTTGAAACACTCTTTTTGTGGAATCTGCAAGTGGATATTTGGATGGCCTTGAGGCCTATGGTGAATAAGGAAATATCTTCACATAACAACTAGACAGAAGCATTCTCCATAACTACTTTGTGATGTGTGCATTCAACTCATACAGTTGAACCTTTCTTTGGATAGAGCAGTTTTGAAACACTCCTTTTGTAGCATTTGCAAGGGGATATTTGGAGGGCTTTGAGGCCTATGGTGGAAAAGCAAATATCTTCACATAAAAATTAGACAGAAGGATTCTCAGAAATTTCTTTGAGATGTGTGCATTCATCTCACAGAGTTGAACCTTTCTTTTGAGAGAGCAGTTTTGAAACACTCTTTTTCTACAATCTGCAATTTGGTAATTGGAGCACTTTGAGGCCTATGGTGGAAAAGGAAATATATTCACATAAAACCCAGACAGAAGCATTATCCATAACTTCTTTGTGGTGTGTGCATTCAACTCACAGATTTGAACGTTTCTTTTGATTGAGCAGTTTTGGAACACTCTTTTGGTAGAATCTGCAAGTGGATATTTAGTTCCCTTTGAGGCCTATGTTGGAAAATGAAATATCTTCACATAAACACTAGACAGTAGCATTCGCAGAAACTTCTTTGTATTCTGTGCATTCAACTCACAGAGATGAAACTTTCTTTTGATAGAGTATTTTTGAAACACTCTTTTTGTAGAATCTGCAAGTGGATATTTGGATCGCTTTAAGGCCTATGGTGGAAAAGGAAATACCTTCACATAAAAACTAGACGGAAGCGTTCTCAGAAACTTCTTTGTGATGTGTGCATTGAACTCACAAAGTTGATCATTTCTTTTCATAGAGCAGTTTTGAAACACTGTGTTCGTAGAATCTGCAAGTGGATATTGGGAGCGCTTTGAGGCCTATGTTGGAAAAAGAAATATCATCACATAAAAACTAGACAGAAGCATTCACCATCACTTCTTTGTGTTGTGTGCATTCAAATCACAGAGTTGAACCTTTCTTTTGATAGAGCAGCTTTGAAACCCTATTTTTGTATAATGTGCAAGTGGATATTTGGAGTGCTTTGAGGCCTATGATAGAAAAGGAAATATCTTCATATAAAAACTAGACAGAAACATTATCCGAAACTCCTTTGTGATGTGTGCAATCAACTCACAGAGTTGAACCTGTCTTTTGATTGAGCAGTTTTGAAACACTCTTTTTTGCATAATCTGCCTGTGGATATTTGTACTGCTTTGAGGCCTTTGGTGGAAAAGGAAGTATCTTTCCATAAAAACTAGAGAGAAGAATTCTCAGATTCTTCTTTGTGATGTCTGCATTCAACTCACAGATTTGAACGTTTCTTTTGACTGAGCAGTTTGGAAATACTCTTTTTGTAGTATCTGCAAATGTTTATGTGGAGCACTTTGAGGCCTGTAGCTGAAAAGGAAATGTCTTCACATAAAAACCAGAAAGAAGCATTCTGAGAAACTTCTTTGGATGAGTGCATTCATCTCACAGAGTTGAATCTATCTTTTATTTGAGCAGTTTTGAGAAACTCTTTTTTTAGAATCTGCAAGTGAATATTTGGAGCGCCTTGGGTCTTATGGTGGGAAAGGAAATATCTTCACATAAAAACTAGACAGAGGCATTCTGAGAAGTGTCTTTGTGATGTGTGCATTCATCTCACAGAGTTGAACCACTCTTTTGACTGAGCAGTTTTGAAACACTCTTTTTGTAGAATCTGCATGTGAATATTTGGAGCGCTTTGAGGCCTATGCTTGAAAATGAAATATCTTCACATAAAAACTAGACAGAAGCATTCTCAGAAACTTCTTTGTGAAGTGTGCATTGAACTTACAAAGTTGATCGTTTCTTTTGATAGAGCAGTTTTGAAACACTCTTTTCGTAGAATCTGCAAGTGGATATTGGGAGCGCTTTGAGGCCTATGTTGGAAAAAGAAATGTCTTCACATAAAAACTAGACAGAAGCATTCACCGTCACTTTTTTGTGTTGTGTGCATTCAAATCACAGAGTTGAACCTTTCTTTTGATAGAGCAGCTTTGAAACCCTATTTTTGTATTATGTGCAAGTGGATATTTGGAGGGCTTTGAGGCCTATGATAGAAAAGGAAATATCTTCATATAAAAACTAGACAGAAACATTCTCAGAAACTACTTTGTGATGTTTGCATTCAACTCACAGAGTTGAACCCTTTTTTTGATAGAGCAGTTTTGAAACATTCTTTTTGTAGAATCTGCAAGTGGTTATTTGGAGTGCTTTGAGGCCTCTGGTAGAAAAGGAAATTTCTTCATATAAAAACTAGACAGCAGCATTCTCAGAAACTACTTTGTGATGTTTGCATTCAACTCACAGTGTTGAACATTCCTTTTGATAGAGCATTTTTGAAACACTCTTTTTGCAGAATCTGCAAGTAGATACTTGGACCGCTTTGAGGCCTTCAGTGGAAATGGGAATATCATCACATAAAAACTAGACAGAAGCATACTCAGAAACTTCTTTGTGATGAGTTCATTGAACTCACAAAGTTGAACCTTTCTTTCGATATACCAGTTTTGAAACACTCTTTTTGTAGAATCTGCAAGTGCACATTTGGAGCGCTTTGAGGCCTGTAGTGGAAAAGGAAATATCCTCACAAAGAAACGAGACAGAAGCATTCTCAGAAACTTCTTTGTGTTGTGTGCATTCAACTCACAGAGTCGAATCTTCCTTTTGATAGAGCAGTTTTTAGACACTCTTTTTGTAGAATCTGCAAGTGGGTATTTGGAGAGCTTTGAGGCCTATGGTGGAAACGGGATATCTTCACAGAAAAACTAGACAGAAGCATTCTCAGAAACCACTTTGTGATGTGTGCATTCAACTCACAGAGTTGAACCTTCCTTTTGATAGAGCAGTTTTGACACAGTCTTTTTGTAGAATCTGCAAGTGGACACTTGGAGCGCGTTGAGGACTTTGGTGGAAATGGGAATATCTTCACATAAAAACTAGACAGAAGCATTCTCAGAAACTTCTTTGTTATGTGTGCATTCAACTCACAGAGTTGAACTTTTCTTTTGACAGAGCAGTTTTGAAACACTTTTTTGTATAATCTGCAAGAGGATATTTTGTTCCGTTTGAGGCCTAAGTTGGAAAAAGAAATATTTTCACATAAAAACTAGACAGAAACATTCTCTGAAACTCCTTTGTGATGTGTGCAATCAACTCACAGAGTTGAACCTGTCTTTTGATTGAGCAGTTTTGAAACACTCTTTTTTGCATAATCTGCCTGTGAATATTTGTACTGCTTTGAGGCCTTTGGTGGAAAAGGAAGTATCTTTCCATAAAAACTAGAGAGAAGAATTCTCAGATTCTTCTTTGTGATGTCTGCATTCAACTCACAGATTTGAACGTTTCTTTTGATTGAGCAGTTTGGAAATACTCTTTTTGTGGTATCTGCAAATGTTTATGTGGAGCACTTTGAGGCCTGTAGCTGAAAAGGAAATATCTTCACATAAAAACCAGAAAGAAGCATTCTGAGAAACTTCTTTGTGATAAGTGCATTCATCTCACAGAGTTGAATCTATCTTTTATTTGAGCAGTTTTGAAAAACTCTTTTTTTAGAATCTGCAAATGAATATTTGGAGCGCCTTGAGTCTTATGGTGGGAAAGGAAATATCTTCACATAAAAACTAGACAGAAGCATTCTGAGAAACATTTTTGTGATGTGTGCATTCATCTAACAAGGTTGAACCTTTCTTTTCATTGAGCAGTTTTGAAACACTCTTTTTTGTAGAATCTGCAAGGGGATATTTGGAGCACTTTGGGGCCTATGGTGGAAAAGGAAATATCTTCTCATAAAACCTAGACAGAAGCATTCTCAGATACTTCTTTGTGATGTGTGCATTCAACTCAAAGAGTTGAAGCGTTCTTTTTATTGAGCAGTTTGAAAACATTCTGTTTGTAGTATCTGCAAATGGATATGTGGAGTGCTTTGAGGCCTACAGCTGAAAAGGAAATATCTTCACATAAAAACTAGATAGAAGCATTCTCAGAAACTTCTTTGTGATGATTGCATTCATCTCACGGAGTTGAACCTTTCTTTTGAGCAGTTTTGAGAAACTCTTTTTGTAGGATCTGCAAGTGGATATTTGGAGCGCTTTGAGGCCTATGTTGGAAAAGAAAATATCTTCCCTTAAAACTAGACGGAAGCATTCTGAGAAACTTGTTTGTGATGTGTGCATTCATCTCACAGAGTTGAACCTTTCTTTTGATTGAGCAGTTTTGAAACACTCTTTTTGTAGAATCTGCAAGTGGATATTTGGAGCACTTTGAAGTCTATGGTTGTAAAGGAAATATCTTCACATAAAAGCTTGACAGAAGCATTCTCAGATACTACTTTGTGATGTGTGCATTCAACTCACAGAGCTGAACCTTTCTTTTGATTGAGCAGTTAGAAGACACTCTTTTTGTGGTATCTGCAAATGGATATTTGGAGCGCTTTGAGGCCTATAGCTGAAAAGTAAATACCTTCTCATAAACACTAGACAGAATCTTTCTCAGAAACTTCTTTGTAATATGTGCATTCTACTCACAGTGTTGAAACTCAGTTTTCATTGGGCAGTATTGAAACACTCTTTTTGTGGAATCTACAGATGGATATTTGGAGCACTTTGAGACCTATAGAAGAAAAGGAAATATCTTCATGTAAAAACTATACTGAAGCATTCTCAGAAATTTATTTGTGATGTGTGCGTTCAACTCACAGGGTTGAACTTTCTTTTGATAGAGCAGATTTGAAACACTCTTTTTGTAGAATCTGAGAGTGGATATTTGGAGCGCCTTCAGACCTAAGTTGGAAAAGCAAATACCTTCACATAAAACTAGACGGAAGCATTCTCAGATACTCCTTTGTGATGTGTGCATTTAACTCACAGATTTGAACTTTTCTTTTCATTGAGCAGTTGGAAAACACTATTGTGTTCCTATCTGCAAATAGATATTTGGAATGCTTTGAGGCTGTAATTGAAAAGAAAATATCTTCACATAAATCTAGAAAGAAGCATTCTCAGAAACTTCTTTATAATGTGTGCATTCTACTCACAGAGTTGGACCTTTCCTTTGGTTGAGCATTTTTGAAACACTATTTTTGTAGTATCTGCATGTGGATATTCCGAGTGCTTTGAGGCCTATGGTGAAAAAGCAAATATCTTCACATAAAAATTAGACATAAGCATTCTCAAATACTTCTTTGTGATGTGTGTATTCAGCTCACAGAGTTGAACGTTTCTTTTGATTGAGCAGCTTTGAAACACTCTTTTTGTAGTGTCTGCAAGTGGATATTTGGAGCGCTTTGAGGCCTATGGTGTAAAAGGAAATATCTTCACATAAAAACTAGACAGAAGCATTCTCTGAAACTTCTTTGTGTCGTGTGCATTCAACTCATGGAGTTGAATCTTTCTTTTGACAGAGCAGTTTTGAAACACTTTTTTTGTGGAATATGCAAGTGGATATTTAGAGCACTTTGATGCCTATGGTGGAAAAGGAAATATCTTCCCATAAAACCTAGACAAAAGCATTCTCAGATACTTCTTTGTGATGTGTGCATTCAACTCACAAATTTGAACATTTCTTTTCATTGAGCAGTATTGAAACACTCTTTTTGTAGAATCTACAAATGGATATTTGGAGCCCTTTGAGGCTTATGGTGGAAAAGGAAATATCTTCACATAAAAACTAGAAGAAGCATTCTCAGAAATTTCTTTGTGATGTGTGCATTCAACTCACAGAGTTGAACCTTTCTTTTGATAGAGCAGATTTGAAACACTCCTTTTGTAGTATCTGAATATGGATATTTGGAGCGCTTTCAGGCCTATGTTGGAAAAGCAAATACCTTCACATAAAAATAGACAGAAGCATTCTCAGATACTTCTTTGTGATGTGTGCATTTAACTCACTGAGTTGAGCTTTTCTTTTCATTGAGCAGTTGGAAAACACTATTTTGGTCCTATCTGCAAATGGATATTTGCAACGCTTTGAGGCCTATAGCTGAAAAGGAAATATCTTCACATAAATCTAGAAAGAAGCATTCTCAGAAACTTCTTTGTAATGTGTGCATTCTACTCACAGAGTTGAACCTTTACTTTGTGCACTTACGAAACACTCTTTTTGTAGAATCTGCAAGTGGATATTTGGAGCACTGTGAGGTCTATGGTTGTAAAGGAAATATCTTCACATAAAAGCTTGACAGAAGCATTCTCTGATACTTCTTGGTGAAGTGTGCGTTCAACTCACAGAGTTGAAACTTTCTTTTGATTGAGCACTATGAAACCATTCTTTTTGTAGTATCTGCAAATTGATATTTGGAGCACTTTGAGGCCTACAGCTGAAAAAGAAATCGCTTCTCATAAACACTAGACAGAAGCATTCTCAGAAACTTCTTTGTAATGTGTGCATTCTACTCACAGTGTTGAAACTAACTTTTCATTGAGCAGTATTGAAACACTCTTTTTGTAAAATCTACTAATGGATATTTGGAGCGCTTTGACGCCTATGGTGGGAAAGGAAATATCTTCATATAAAAACTATACTGAAGCATTCACAGAAATTTCTTTGGGATGTGTGCATTCAACTCACAGAGTTGAACATTTCGTTTGATTGAGCAGCTTCGAAACATTCTTTTTGAAGAATCTGCAAGTGGATATTTGAAGCGTTTTGGGTCCTATAGCTGAAAGGGAAATATCTTCCCATAAAAACTAGGCAGAAGCATTCTGAGCAACTTCTTTGTGATTACTGCATTCATCTCACAGAGTTGAACCTTTCTTTTGATTGAGCAGTTTTGAAACACTCTTTTTGTAGAATCTGCAAGTGGATATTTGGAGCGCTATGAGTCCTATGGTGGAAAAGAAAATATCTTCACATAAAACCCAGACAGAAGCAATCTCAGATGCGTCTTTGTGTTGTGTGCATTCATCTCACAGAGTTGATCCTTTCTTTTGACTGAGCAGTTTGGAGACACTCTTTTTGTAGAATCTGCAAGTGGATATTTGGAGCGCTTTGAGGCCTATGGTGGATAAGGAAATATCTTCACATAAAACCCAGACAGAAGCATTCTCAGAAACTTCTTTGTGATGTCTACATTCATCACACAGAGTTGAAGATTTCCTTCGATTGAGCAGTTTTGAGACACTCTTTTTGTAGAATCTTCATGTGAATAATTGGTACTCTTTGAGTCCTACAGTGGAAAAGGAAATATATGCACATAGAACTAGACAGAAGCATTCTCTGATAATTCTTTGTGTTGTGTGCATTCAACTCACAGGGTTGAAACTTTCTTTTGATAGAGCAATTTGAAAACACTCTTTTTGTACTGTCTGCAAATGGATATTTGCAGCGCTTTGAGGCCTATGGTGGAAAAGGAAATATCTTCACATAAAAACTAGACCGAAGCATTCTCCGAAACTTATTTTTGATCTGCTCATTCAACTCAGAGAGTTGAACCTTTCTATTGATCGAGCAGTTTTGAAACATTCTTTTTGTAGTGTCTGCAAGTGCATATTTGGAGCTCTTTGAGTCCTATAGCTGAAAGGGAAATATCTTCACATAAAAACTAGACAGAAGCATTCTGAGAAACTTCTTTGTGATGAGTTCATTCATCTCGCACAGCTGAACCTTTCTTTTGATTGAGCAGTTTGGAAACACTATTTTTGTAGTATCTGCAAGTGGATATTTGGAGCGTATTGAGGCCTGTGGTGCAAAAGAAATATCTTCACATAAAAACCAGACAGAAGAGTTCTCAGATACCTCTATGTGATGTGTGCATTGAACTCAGAAAGTTGAACCTTTCTTTTCATTGAGCAGTTTGAAAACACACTTTTTGTAGTATCTACAAATGGATATTTGGAGCACTTTGATGCGTATAGCTGAAAAGGAAATATCTTCACATAAAAAGTAGACAGAAACATTCTCAGAAACTTCTTTGTAATATCTGCATTCTACTCACAGAGTTAATCCTTTCTTTTGATGGAGCAGTTTTGAAACACTCTTTTTGTAGAATCTGCAAGTGGATATTTTGAGCACTTTGAGGCCTATGGTGGAAAAGAAAATGTCTTCACATAAAAACTAAACAGTGGCATTCTCAGAACATTCTTTGAGATATGTGTATTCTACTCACAGAGTTGAACCTTTCTTTTGATTAAGCAGTTTGGAAACACTCTTTTTGTAAAATCTGCAAGTGAATATTTGAGTGCCTTAAGTCCTATAGCTGAAAGGGAAATATCTTCACATAAAAAATAGACAGAAGCATTCTGAGAAACTTCTTTGAGATGACTGCGTTCATCTCACAGAGTTGAAACTTTCTTTTGATTGAGGAGTTTTGAAACACTCTTTTTGTAGAATCTGCAAGGGGATATTTGGAGCTCTTTGAGGCCTATAGCTGAAAAGGAAATATCTTCACATAAAAACTAGACAGAAGCATTCTGAGAAACTTTTTTAGGATGAGTGCATTTATCTCAAGGAGTTGAAAGTTTCTATTGATTGAGCAGTTTTGAAACACTCTTTTGTAGGATCTGCAAGTGCATATTTGGAGCACTTTGAGGCCTATGGTGGAAAACGAAATATCTTCACATAAAACCTAGATAGAAGAATTCTCAGATACTTCTATGTGATGTGTGCATTCAGCTTACAGAGATGAACCATTCTTTTGACTGAGCAGTTTGGAAACACTCTTTTTGTAGTATCTGCAAATGGTTATGTGGAGTGCTTTGATGCCTGCAGCTGAAAAGGAAATATCTTCACATAAAAACTAGACAAAAGCATTCTGAGAAACTTCTTTGTGATGAGTGTATTCATCTGACAGATTTGAAACTTTCTTTTGATTGAGCAGTTTCCAGAATCTCTTTTTGTAGTATCTGCATGTGCATATTTGGAGTGCTTTGAGGCCTATGTTGGAAAAGGAAATATCTTCACATAAAAACTAGACAGAAGCATTCTGAGAAACTTCTTTGTGATGTGTGCATTCATCTCACAGAGTTGAACATTTCTTTTCATTGAGCAGTTTTGAAACACTCTTTTTGTAGAATCTGCAATTGGATATTTGGAGCACTTTGAGGCCTACTGTGGAAAAGGAAATACCTTCAAATAAAACCTAGACAGAAGCATTGTCATATATTTCTTTGTGATGTGTGCATTCAACTCACAGAGTTGAACCTTTCTTTTGATTGAGGAGTTTGGAAACACTGTTTTTGTAGTAACTGTAAATGGATATGTGGAGCATTTTCAGGCCTATAGCTGATAAGGAAATATCTTCACACAAAAACTAGAAAGAAGTATTCTGAGAAACTTCTTTGTGATGAATGCATTCATCTCACAGAGTTGAAACCTTCTTTTGATGGAGCTGTTTTGACAAACTGTTTTTGTAGAATCTGCAAGTGGATATTTGGAGTGCTTTGAGGCTTATGGTGGAAAAGGAAATATCTTCATATAAAAACTAGACAGAAAAATTCTGAGAAACTGCTGTGTGATGTGTGCATTCATCTCACAGAGTTGAAATTTTCTTTTGATTGAGCAGTTTTGAACACTCTTTTTGTAGAATCTGCAAGTGGATATTTGGAGTGCTTTGCGTCCTATAGCTGAAAAGGAAATATATTCACATAAAAAAGAGACAGAAGAACTCTCAGAAACTACTTTGTAATGTGTGCATTCTACTCAACGAGTTTAAACTTTCTTTTGATAGAGCAGTTTGGAAACACTCTTTTTGTAGTATGTGCTAGTGGATATTTGCAGTGCTTTGAGGCCTATGGTGGAAAAGGAAATATCTTCAGGTAAAAACTAGACAGAAGCATTCTCAGAAACTTCTTTGTGATGTGTGCATTCATCTCACAGAGTTGAAACTTTCTTTTGATTGAGCAGTTTTGATGCACTCTATTTGTAGAATCTGCAGGTGGATATTTGGTGAGCTTTGAGTCCTATAGCTGAAAAAAAATGTCTTCACATAAAAGCTAGACAGACATATTCTGAGAAATTTCTTTGGATGAGTGCATTCGTCTCACAGAGTTGAAGCTTTCTTTTGATTGAGCAGTTTTGAGACATTCTTTTTGTAGAGTCTGCAAGGGGATATTGGGAGCTCTTTGAGGCCTATTGTGGAAAAGGAAATATCTTCACATAAAACCTAGATAGAAGCATTCCCAGATACTTCTTAGTGATATGTGCATTCAACTCACAGAATTGAAACTTTCTTTTGATTAAGCAGTTTGGAAACACTCTTTTTGAAGTATGTGCAAATGGATATGTGGAGAGCTTTGAGACCTATAGCTGAAAAGGAAGTATCTTAACATAAAAACTAGACAGAGGCATTCTCAGAAGCTTCTTTGTGATGAGTGCATTCATCTCACAGAGTTGAACCTCTCTATTGTTTGAGCATTTTTGAGAAACTCTTTCTGTAGAATCTGCAAGTGGATATTTGGAGCGCTTTGAGGCTCATGGTGAAAAGGCAAATATCTTCCCAAAAAAACTAGACAGAAGCATTCTGAGAAACTTCTTTGTGATGTGTGCATTCAACCCACAAAGTTGAAACTTTCTTTTGATTGAGCACTTTGAAAACACTCTTTTTGTAGAATCTGCAAGTGGATGTTTGGAGTGCTATGATGCCTAAAGCTGAAAAGGAAATATCTTCACATAAAAACTAGACAGAAGTATTGTGAGAAACTTCTTGGTGATGAGCTCATTCATCTCACAGAGTTGAACCTTTCTTTTGATTGAGCTGATTTGAAATACTCTTTTTGTAGAATCTGCATGGGGATATTTGGAGGGCTTTGAGGCCTATGGTGGAAGAAGAAATATCTTCACATAAAACCTAGACAGAAGCATTCCCAGGTACTTCTTGTGATGTGTACATTCGATTCACAGAGTTGAACCTTTCTTTTGATTGAGCAGTTTGGAAAAACTCTTTATGTTCTATCTGAAAATGGATATGTGGAGCGCTTTGAGGCCTATAGAAGAAAAGGAAATAATTTCACATAAATACTAAACAGAAGCATTCTGAGAAACTTCTTTATGATGACAGCATTCATCTCACAGAGCTGAAACGTTCTTTTGATTGAGCAGTTTTGAAAAACTCTTTTTGTAGAATTTGCATGGGGATATTTGGAGGGCTTTGAGGCCTTTGGTGGAAAAGGAAATATCTTCACATAAAACCCAGACAGAAGCATTCCCAGGTACTTCTTCGTGATGTGTGCATTCAATTCACAGAGTTGAACCTTTTTTTGATTGAGCAGCTTGGAAAAAACTCTTTATGTTCTATCTGCAAATGGATATGTGGAGCACTTTGAGGCCTATAGATGAATAGGAAATATCTTCACATAAATACGAGATGTAAGCATGCTCAGAAACTTGTTTGTGATGTGTGCACTTAACTGTCAGTTTTGAACCTTTCTTTTGAGTGAACAGTTGGAAGCACTCTTTGTGTAGTATCTGCAAATGCATATTTGGAGCACTTTGAGCCCTATAGCTGAAAAGGAAATATCTTCACATGAAAACTAGACAGAAGCATTCTGAAAATCTTCCTTGTGGTGTGTGCATTCATGTCACAGAGTTGAACCTCTCTTTTGATTGAGCAGTTTGGATACTTTTTGATATGTGCCTTCATCTTACAGAGTTGAAACTTTCTGTTGATTGAGGCGTTTGGAAACAGTCTTTTTCTAGAATCTGCAGAGGGATATTTGTGAGTGGTTTGAGGACTGCGATGAGAAAGTAAATATCTCCACATAAAAAGAAGTCAGAATCTTTCTGAGAAACTTATTTGTCTTGTGTGCATTCATCTCACAGATTTGATGCTTTCTTTTGATTGAGCAGTTTGGAAGTCTTTTTGCAGATTCTGCATAGTGATATTTGTGAGCCATTTTTGGCCTATGGTAAAAAACCAAATATCTTCACATAAAAACTAGACAAAAGCATTCTGTGAAACTTCTTTGTGATGTGTGCATTCATCTCACAGTGTTGAAGATTTTTTTTGATTGAGCTGTTTGGAAACAATCTTTTTGTAGATTCTGCATAGGTATATTTGTGAGCAGTTTGAGAACTGTGGTGAAAAAGGAATTATCTTCTCATAAAAACTAGACAGAAGCTTTCTGAGAATTTTTTTGTTGTGTGTATTCATCTCACAATGTTGAGTCTTTCTTTTCATTGAGCAGTTTGCAAACAGTCTTTTTGTATTATTGGCAAAGGTATATTTCTGAGCATTGTGATTCATATGGTGAAAAATAAATAACTTCACATTAAAAGTAGACAGAAGCATTCTGAGAAACATTTGTGATGTGTGCATTCATCTCAGAGTGTTGAATCATTCTTTTGAAAGAGCAGTTTGGATACCAACTTTTCGTAGAATCTACAAATGTATATTTGGAGTGCTTTGAGGCCTATGGTGAAAAAGGAAATATCTTCAAATAAAAACTAAACAGAAGCTTTGGGAGAAACTTCTTTGTGATGTGTGCATTCATCTCACAGAGTTGAAACTTTCTTTAAACAGAGCAGTTTTGAAACAGTCTTTTTCACATAGAAACTAGAGAGAAGATTTCCGAGAAACTGCTTTGACATGTGTGCATTCAGGTCATAGGTGTAAAAGTTTCTTTTCTTTGAGCAGTTTGGAAACTCTGTTCTTGGAGAATCTGCAAAGACATATTTGTTAGTGCATTGAAGCCTATGGTGAAAAAGGAAATATCTTCACATGAAAACTAGAAAGAAGCTTTCTGTGAAATGGCTTTGTGATGCATACATTCATCTCACAGAGGTAAACTTTCTTTTCATTGAGCAGTTTGGAAATGCTGTTCTTCTAGAATCTGCAAAGGGATATTTGGGAGACCATAGAGGCCTAGATATAAAAAGGAATTATCTTCAGATTCAAACTGGAAAGAGAGTTTCTGAGAAACTGCTTTGTGATGTGTGCATTCATCTGACAGAGTTGAACCATTATTTACTGAGCAGTTTGTAAAACGTCTTGTTGTAGAATCTGCAGAGGGATATTTCAGAGCACACTGAGGCCTATGGTGAAAAGGAAATATGTTCACAAATCAACTAGAAAGAACCTTTCTGAGAAACTGGTTTGTCAAGAGTGCATTCATCTCACAGAGGTAAACACTTTTTTCATTGAGCAGTTTGGAAACAGTCTTTTTGTGCAACCTGCAGTGGAATATTTTTGAGTGGTTTGAGAGCTATGGTGAAAAAGGAAATATCCTTACATAAAAACTAGAAAGAAGCATTCTGAGAAACTTCTTTCTGAGGTGTGCATTCATCTGACAGAGTTGAACTGTTCTTTTGATTGAGCAGTTTGCAAACAGTCTTTTTGTAGAGTCCGCAAATTTATATTTAGAGCTCTTTGAGGCCCATGGCAAAAAAGAAAATAAATTCACAGAAAAACAAGACAGAAGCTTTTTGAGAAACTCCTTTGCAACGTGTGCATTCATCTCACAGAGTTGAAGCTTTCTTTTGATTGAGCAGTTTGCAAACCTTTTTTTTGTAGAATCTGCAAAGGGATATTTTAGAGCCCTTTTAGGCCTATGGTGAAATAGGAAATATCTTCACATAAAAACTGGAAGGAGAATTCTGAGAAACTTCTTTGTGATGTGTGCATTCATCTCACAGAGTTGAAACTTTCTTTTGATTGAGCAGCTTTGGAACAGTCTTTTTGTAGAATCTGCAAATGGATATTTTGAGTACTTTCAGGCCTAAGGTGACAAAGGAAATGTCTTCACAAAAAGACTAGACAGAAGTTTTGTGAGAAAATTTTTTGTGATGTGTGCATTCATCACACAGAGTTGAAGCTTTCTTTTGATTGAGCTGTTTGGATACAGTCTTTTTGTAGATTCTGCATAGGGACATTTGTGAGTGATTTGAGGCGTATGGTGAAAAAGGAAATATCTTCACATAAAAACTAGACAGAAGCATACTGAGAAACTTCTTTTTGATGTGGGCATTCATCTCACAGAGTTGAGCCTTTCTTTTGATTGAGCAGTTTGGAAACTGTCTTTTTGTAGAATCTGCACATGGATATTTGGAACGCTTTGAGGCCTATGGTGGAAAAGGAAATATCTTCACATAAAAACTAGACAGAAGTATTCTGAAAAACTTCTTTGTGATGTGTGTATTCATCTCAAAGAGTTGAACTTTTCTTTTGATTGAGCAGTTTGGGAAAAGCCTTTTTGTACACCTGCAGAGGGATATCTGTGAGCCCTTTGAGGTCTATGGAGAAATAGGATATATCTTCACATAAAAACTAGACAGAAGGATCCTGAGAAACTTCTTTGTGATGTGTACATTCATCTCACAGACTTGAACATTTCTTTTGGTTGACCAGTTAAGAAACAGTCTTTTTGTACAATCTGGAAAGGGATATTTGTGAGCCCTTTGAGTCCCATGGTGAAATAGGAAATATATTCACAGGATAACCAGACAGAAGGATTACCAGAAACTTCTTTGTGATGTTTTCATTCACCTCAAGGAGTTGAACCTTTCTTTTGATTGAACAGTTTGGAAGCAGTCTTTTTGTAGAATCTGCAAATGGATATATTGGGTGCTTTGAGGCCTATGGTGATAAAGGAAATATCTCTTCACATAAAAACTAGATAGAAGCTTTCTGAGAAACTTCTCTGTGATCTGTGCATTCATCTCACAGATTTGAAGAATTCTTTAATTGAGCAGTTCAGAAACATTCTTTTTGTAGAATCTGCAGAGGGATATTTGTGAGCCATTTGAGACCTATGGAGAAATAGGAAATAACTTCACATAAAAACTAGACAGAGGGATTCTGAGAAACTTCTTTGTGATGTATACATTCATCTAACAGACTTGAACATTTCTGTCGATTGAGCAGTTTGGAAACAGTCTTTTTGTAGAATCTGCAGGGGGATATTTGTGAGCCCTTTGATGTCTATGGTGAAACAGGAAATATCTTCACATAAAAACTAGACAGAAGCATTCTGAGAAACTTCTTTGTGATGCATGCATTAATCTCACAAGATTAAAGCTTTCTTTTGATTGAGCAGTTTGGAACAGTATTTTGGTAGATTCTGCATAGGGATATTTATGAGTTGTTTGAGGTCTATGGTAAAAAAGGAAATATCTTCACATAAAAACTACACAGAAGCTTTCTGTGAATCTTTTTTCTGATGTTTGTATTCATTTCACAGAGCTGAACCTTTCTTTACACTGAGTAGTTTGCAAAGTCTTTTTGTACAATTTGAAAAGGGATATTTCTGAGTGTTTTGGGGCACATGGTGAAAAATAAATATCTTCACATAAAAACTAGACAGAAGCATTCTGAGAAACTTCTTTGTGATGTGTGCATTCATCTGAGAGTGTTGAACAATTCTTTTGATAAAGCAGTTTGGAAACAGTCTTTTCATAGCATCTACAAATGGATATTTGGTGCACTTTCAGACTCCTATGGAGAAACAGGAAATATCTTCCTAGAGGCCTATGGGGAAAAAGGAAATATCTTCACACAAAAACTACACAGAAGCATTCTGAGAAACTTCTTTGTGATGTGTGCATTCACCTGAGAGTGTTGAACAATTCTTTTGATAGAGCAGTTTTGAAACAGTCTTCATAGAATCCACAAATGGATATTTGGTGTGCTTTGAGGCCTATGGGGTAAAAGGAAATATCTTCACATAAAAACTAGACACAATCATTCTGAGAAACTTCTTTGTGATGTGTGCATTCATCTCACACAGTTGAAGTTTTCTTTTGATTGAGTACTTTGGAAATAGTCTTTTTGTAGAATCTGCCAAGGGATACTTGTGATCCCATTGAGGCCAATGGTGAAATAGGAAATATCTTCACATAAAAACTAGACACAATCATTCTGAGAAACTTCTTTGTGATGTGTTCATTCATGTCTCAGAGTTGAATCTTCCTTTTGATTGAGCAGTATGCAAACAGTTTTTGGTAGAGTCTGAAATTTGATATTTCAAGTGCTTTGAGGTAGATGGGGATAAAGAAAATATCTTCACATATAAACTAGACAGAAGCTTTTCGAGAAACTTCTCTGTGATGTGCGCATTCATCTCACAGAGTTGAAGCTTTCTTTTGATTGAGCAGTTTGGAAATAGATCTTTTGTAGAATCTGCAAAGGGATATTTTGGAGCCATATGAGACTTATGATGGAAAAGGAAATATCTTCACATGAAAACCAGACAGAAGCATTCTGAGAAACCTCTTTGTGATGTGTGCATTCATCTCACAGAGTTGAACCTTTCCTTTCATTGAGCAGTTTGGAAACCGTCTTTTTGTAGAATCTGCAAATGGATATTTGGAGTGCTTTGAGGCCTATGTTGTAAAAGGAAATATCTGCACAAAAAACTCCACAGAAGTTTTCTGAGAAACTTCTTTGTGATGTGTGCATTCATCTTACAGAGTTGAAGCTTTCTTTTGATTGAGCAGTTTGGAAAGAGTAGATACTGCATAGGGGTATTTTTGTAGATACTGCATAAGATTTTTGTAGATACTGCATAGGGATATTTGTGAGTGGTTTGAGGCATATGGTGAAAAAGGAAATATCTAAACATAAAAACTGGACAGAAGACTTTTGAGAAACTTCTTTGTGATGTTTGCATTCATCTCACAGAGTTGAAACTTTCTTTTGATTTATCATATTAGAAACTGTCTTTTTGTAAAATCCACAAAGGGATATTTTGAAACCATTGAGGCCTACGGTGAAACAGGAAATATCTTCTCATAAAAACTAGACAGAAGCTTTCTGACAAACTTCTTTGAGATGGATGCTTTCCTCTCATTGAGTTGAACCTTTTTTTTGATTGAGCAGTTTGGAAACATTCTTTTTGTGGACTCTGCAAAGGGATATTTTAGCGCCCTTTGAGGCCTATGGTGAAAAAGGAAATATCTTCACATAAAATCTGGACAGGAGCTTTCTGAGAAACTTCTTTGTGATGTTTGCTTTCATCTCACAGAGTTGAAACTTTCTTTAGATTGAGCATTTTGGAAACAGTCTTTTTGTAGGATCTGCAAATGATATTTTAGTGCGCTTTGAGGCCTTTTGTGAAAAAGGAAATATCTTCACATAAAAACTAGACAGAAGCTTTTTGAGAAACTTCTTTGTGATCTGTGCATTGAACTCAAAGATTTGAACCTTTCCCTGGATTGAGAAGTTTGGAAACAGTCTTTTTGTAGAATCTGCAAAGGGATATTTGAAAGGACTATAAGGCCTATCTTGAAAAAGGAAATATCCTCACATAAAAAGTAGACAGAATTTTTCTGAGAAACTTCATCATGATGTGTGCTTTCATCTCACAGAGTTGAACTTTCTTTTGATTGAGCTGTTTGGAAACAGTCTTTCTGTGGAATCTGCAGTGGAATATTTGTGAGTGGTTTGAGAGCTATGGTGAAAAAGGAAATATCCTAGCATAAAAACTAGACAGAAACATTCTAAGAAACTTCTTTTTGATTGCTGCATTCATCTCACGGAGTTGAATTTTTCTTTTGATTGAGCAGTTTGCAAACCGTCTTTTTTTAGAGTCTGCAAATTGATATTTGGAGCACTTTGAGGCCCATGGTGAAAAAGAAAATATCTTTACAGAAAAACTAGACAGAAGGTTTTGACAAACTCCTTTGTAATATATGCATTCATCTCACAGAATTGAAGCTTTCCTTTTTGAGCAGTTTGGAAACCATCTTTTTGTAGAATCTGCAAAGGGATATTATTTCAGAGCCCTTTGAGGCTTGTGGCGAAATAAGAAATATCTTCACATAAAACTGGAAGCAGCATTCTGAGAAACTTCTTTGCAATGTGTGCATTCATCTCACAGAGTTGAAACTTTCTTTTCATTCATCAGTTTTGGAACAGTCTTTTTGTAGAATCTGCAAATGGATATTTGGAGTGCTTTGGGGCCTATGGTGAAAAAGGAAATATCTTCACATAAAAACTAAACAGAAGCATTTTGAGAAACTTCTTTGTGATGTGTGCATTCATATCAGAGAGTTGAACCTTTTTTTTTTTTGATTGAGCAGTTTGGAAACAGTCTTTTCATCCACCTGCAGAGGGATACCTGTGAGCCCTTTGAGGCCTATGGAGAAATAGTAAATACATTCACATAAAAACTACACAGAAGCATTCTGAAAAACTTCTTTGTGATGTGCGCATTCATATCAAAGTGTTGAAACTGTCTTTTTATTAAGCAATTTGGAAGTATTCTTTTTGTACAATCTGCAGAGGGATATTGTGACTCCTTTGAGGCCTATGGAGAAATAGGAAATATCTTCACCTAAAAACTAGACAGAAAGAGTCTGAGAAACTGCTTTGAGATGTGTAGATTCATCCCACCGACTTGAAGATTTCTTTTGATTGAGCACTTTGGAAACAGTCCTTTTGTAGAATCTGCAAGGGGAAATTTAAGAGCCCTTTGAGGCCTATGGTGAAATAGGAAATATCTTCACATAAAAACTAGACAGAAGCGTTCTGAGAAAATTCTTTGTGATGTGCACATTCATCTCAAATGTTGAACCTTTCTTTCAATTGAGCAGTTTGGAAACAATCTTTTTGTAGAAACTGCAGAGGGACATTTGGGAGCCAGTTGAGGCCTATGGTGAAATAGGAAATATCTTCACATAAAAACTAGACAGAAGGTTTCTGAGAAACTTCTTTGTGATGTGTGCATTCATATGAAAGAGATGAACCTTACTGTTGATTGAGCAGATTGGAAACAATCTTTTTGTAGAATCTGCAGAGAGATATTAGTGAGCCCTTTGAGGCCTATGATGAAATATGAAATATCTTCTCATAAAAACTAGACAGAAGCTTTCTGAAAACCTTCTTTGTGATGGGTGCTTTCATCTCACAGAGTTGAACCTTTCTTTCTACTGAGCAGTTTTGGAAAGAGTCTTTTTATAGTATCTGCAAATGGATATTTGGAGCTCATTGAGGCCTATTATGAAAAAGGAAATATCTTCACATAAAAACTAGACAGAAGCTTTGTGAGAAACTACTTTGTGATGTGTTCTTCATCTCATAGAGCTGAACCTTTCTTTCTATTGAGCAGTTTGGAAACAGTGTTTTTGTAGAATCTGCAAATGGATATTTGGAGCACTTTGTGGCCTATGGTGAAAAAGGAAATCTCTTCACGTAAAAACCAGACAGAAGTTTTCTGAGAAACTTATTTGTGATGTGTGCTTTCATCTCACAGAGTTGAACTATTCTTTTGATTGAGCAGTTTGGAAACAGTCTTTTTATATGAACCTGAAGTGGGATATTTGGGAGTGCTTTTAGAACTATGGTGTAAAAAGAAATATCTTCACATAAAAACTAGAAAGAAGCTTTCTGAGAAACTGCTTTGTGATGTGTGTATTCGTCTCACAGAGCTAAACGATTTTTTCATTGAGCAGTTTGGAAACTCTTTTCTTCCAGAATCTGCAAAGGGATATTTGTGAGCACTTTGAGTCCTATGGTGAAAAAGGAAATATATTCACATAAAAACTAGAAAGACGTTTTCTGAGAAACTTCTTTGTGTTGCATGCATTCATCTGACAGGGTTGAACCATTCTTGTGATTGAGCAGTTTGGAAATAGTCTTTTAATAGAATCTGCAAAATAGTATTTGGGAGAATACTAAGGCCTGTGGTGAAAAGGAAATATATTCACATAAAAACTAGAAGGAAGGTTTTGAGAAACTTCTTTGTCATGTGTGCATTCATGTCACACAGGCAAACCTTTCTTTTCATTGAGCAGTTTGGAAACTCTGTTCTTGTAGAATCTTCCAAGGGATATTTATGAGTGCTTTGAGGCCTATGTTGAAAAAGGATATATGTTCATGTAAAAACTAGACAGAAGCTTCCTGAGAAACTTCTTTTTGATGTGTGCAGTCATCTCACAGTGTTGAACCATTCTTGTGATTGAGAAGCTTGGAAACAGTCTTTTCATAGAAACTGCAAAAGGATATTTAAGAATGCATTGAGGCCTATGGTGAAAAAGGAAATATCTTCACATAAAAACTAGAGAGAAGCTTTCTGAGAAACTGCTTTGTGATGTGTGCATTCATGTTACAGGGGTAAACGTTCCTTTTCATTGAGCAGTTTGGAAACTCTGTTCTTGGAGAATCTGCAAAGGCATATTTGTTAGTGCATTGAAGCCTATGGTGAAAAAGGAAATATCTTCACATGAAAACTAGAAAGAAGCTTTCTGTGAAATGGCTTTTTGATGCATGCATTCATCTCACAGAGGTAAACGTTTATTTTCATTGAGCAGTTTGGAAAGTCTGTTCTTCTAGAATCTGCAAAGGAATATTTGGGAGTGCATAGAGGCCTAGATAGAAAAAGGAAATATCTTCTGATTCAAACTGGAAAGAGAGTTTCTGAGAAACTGCTTTGTGATGTTTGCATTCATCTGACACAGTTAAACCATTGTTTTGATTGAGCAGTTTGGAAAAAGTCTTTTTGTAGAATCTGCAAGGGATATTTGGGAGTGCACTGAGACCTATGGTGAAAAGGAAATATGTTCACATAAAAAGTAGAAAGAAGCTTTCTGAGAAACTGCTTTGTCATGTGTGCATTCATCTCACAGTGCTAAACCTTTCTTTTCATTGAGCAGTTTGGAAACTCTGTTCTTGTAGAATCTGCCAAGGGATATTTGTGAGTGCTTTGAGGCCTGTGTTGAAAAAGGATATATCTTCACATAAAAACTAGACAGAATCTTTCTGAGAAACTTCTTTTTGATGTGTGCATTCATCTCACAGAGTTGAACCATTCTTGAGATAGAGCAGTTTGGAAACAGTCTTTTCATAGAAACTGCAAAGGGATATTTGGGAGCACGTTGAGGCCTATGGTGAAAAAGGAAATATCTTCACATAAAAACTAGAGAGAAGCTTTCTGAGAAACTGCTTTGTGATGTGTGCATTCATGTCATAAGGGTAAACATTTGTTTTCATTGAGCAGTTTGGAAACTCTGTTCTTCTAGAATCTGCAAAGGCATATTTGTCAGTGTGTTGAAGCCTATGCTGAAAAAGGAAATATCTTCACATAAAAACTAGAAAGAAGTTTTCTGAGAAATGGCTTTGTGATGCATGCATTCATCTCACAGAGGTAAACGTTTCTTTTCATTGAGTAGTTTGGAAATGCTGTTCTTCTAGAATCTGCAAAGGGATATTTGGGAGAGAATAGAGGCCTAGATAGAAAAAGGAAATATCTTCAGATTCAAACTGGCGAGTTTCTGAGAGACTGCTTTGTGATGTATGCATTCATCCCACAGAGTTGAACCATTATTTTGATTGAGCAGTTTGTAAAAAGTCTTTTTGTAGAATCTGCAAAGGGATATTTGGGAGTGCACTGAGGCCTATGGTGAAAAGGAAATATGTTCACATAAAAAGTAGAAAGAAGCTTTCTGAGAAACTGGTTTATCATGAGTGCATTCATCTCACAGAGGTAAACGTTTCTTTTCATTGAGCTGTTTGGAAGCTCTGTTCTTGTAGAATCTGCAAAGGGATATTTGTGAATGCTTTGTGGCCTATGTTGAAAAAGTATATATCTTCACATAAAAACTAGACAGAAGCTTTCTGAGAAACTGGTTTGTCATGAGTGTATTCATCTCACAGAGGTAAACATTTCTTTTCATTGAGCAGTTTGGAAACAGTCTTTTTGTAGAATCTGCAGAGGGATATTTAGGAGCACTTTGAGGCCTATGGTCAAAAAGGAATTATCTTCTGATACATACTAGAAAGAGAGTTTCTGAGAAACTGCTTTATGATGTGTACATTAATCTCACAGAATTGAGCCATTCTTTTGATTGAGCAATTTGGAAACACAGTGTTTGTAGAATCTGCGAAGGGATATTTTGTTTCACATGGATGCCTGTGTTGAAAAAGGAAATATCTTCCAATACATGCTAGACAGAAGCTTTCTGAGAGAATGCTTTGTAATGTGTGCATTCATCCCACAGAATTAAAAGTTTCTTTTCATTGAGCAGTTTTTAAACTCTGTTGTTCTATAATCTGCAAAAGGATATTTGGGAGTGCATTGAGGCCTATGGTTAAAAAGGAAATATCTTCCGATACAAACTAGAAATAGAGTTTTTGAGAAACTGCTTTGTGATGTGTGCATTCATCTCACATAGTTGAACAATTCTTTTGATTGAGCAGTATGGAAACACAGTGTTAGTAGAATCTGCAAAGGATTATTTGGATTTGCATTGAGGCCTGTGTTGAAAAAGGAAATATCTTCTGATACAAACAAGATGGAAGCTTTCTGAGAAACTGCTTTGTGATGTGTGCATTCATCCTACAGAGTTGAACCATTCTTTTGATGGAGCAGTTTTGAACCACTGTTTTTGGAGAATCTGCAAGGGGATATTTGGGGGCCCTCGAGTCTTATGGTGAAAAAGGAAATATCCTCACATAAAAACTAGAAAGGAGCTTTCTGAGAAACTGCTTTGTAATATGTGCATTCATCTCACAGAGTTAAACCATTCTTTTGATTGAGCAGCTTGGAAACACAGTGTTTAAAGTATCTGAGAAGGAATATTTGGATTCACCTTGAGGCCTAGGGGGCAAAAGGAAATATCTTCTGATACAAACAAGATGGAAGCTTTCTGAGAAACTGCTTTGTGATGTGTGCACTCATCCTACAGAGTTGAACCATTCTTTTGATGGAGCAGTTTTGAACCACTGTTTTTGGAGAATCTGCAAGGGGATATTTGGGGGCCCTCGAGTCTTATGGTGAAAAAGGAAATATCCTCACATAAAAACTAGAAAGGAGCTTTCTGAGAAACTGCTTTGTAATACGTGCATTCATCTCACAGAGTTAAACCATTCTTTTGATTGAGCAGCTTGGAAACACAGTGTTTGAAGTATCTGCGGAGGAATATTTGGATTCACCTTGAGGCCTAGGGGGCAAAAGGAAATATCTTCTGATACAAACTAGGCAGAAACTTTCTGGAAGACTGCTTTGTGATGTGTGCACTCATCTCACAGAGTTAAACTTTCTTTTCATTGAGCAGTTTGGAGACTCTGTTCTTGTAGAATCTGCAAAGGGATATTTGAGAGTGCATAGAGGCCTGTAGTGAAAAAGGAAATATCTTCCAATAAACTCGAAAAAGTGTTACTGAGTAACCACTTTGTGATGTGTGCATTCATCTCACCTAGTTGAACCATTATTTTGGTTGAGCAGTTTGGAAACACAGTGTTTCTAGAATCTGTGAAGGGATATTTGGAGTCACATGGAGGCCTGTGGTGAAAAAGGAAATATCTTCTGACACAAACTAGACAGAAGCTTCCTGAGAGAATGCTTTGTAATGTGTGTATTCATCCCACAGAGTTAAACATTTCTTTTCAATGATCAGTTTGGAAATTCTGTTCTTTCAGAATCTGCAAAAGGATATTTAGGAGCATATTGAGGTGTATGGTGAAAAAGGAAATATCTTCCAATACAAACTAGAAAGAGTTTCTGAGGAACTGCTTTGTGATGTGTGCATTCATCTTACAGAGTTGAACCATTCTTTCACTGAGCAGTTTGGAAACACAGTGTTTGTAGAATCTGTGAAGGGATATTTGGATTTGCATGGAGGCCTGTGGTGAAAAATGAAATATCTTCCGATACAAACTAGACAGAAATTTTGTGAGAGACGAATTTGTGAAGTGTGCATCCCTCTCACAGAGTTGAACCATTCTTTTGAAGGAGCAGTTTAGAACCACTGTTTTAGTAGAATCTGCAAAGGGATATTTGGGAGCCCTTTGAGTCTTACGGTGAAAAAGGAAATATCCTCACATAAAAACTAGAAAGGAGCATTCTGAGAAACTGCTTTGTGATATATGCATTCATTTCACAGAATTAAAACTTTCCTTTGATGGAGCATTTTGGAAACACTGTTTTTGTAGAATCTGCAAAGGGATATTTCAGAGTGCTTTCAGGCCTATGATGAAAAAGGAAATATCTTCACCTAAAAACTCATAGGAAGCTTTCTGAGAAACTGCTTTGTGATGTGTGCATTCCTCTCACAGAGTTAAACCATTCTTTTGATTGAGCAGTTTGGAACTACTGTTTTTCTAGAATCTGCAAAGGGATATTTGTGAGTGCTTTGAGGTCTATGGTGAAAAAAGAAATATTCTCACATAAAAACTAGAAAGGAGCTTTCTGAAAAATGGCTGTATGATGTGTGCATTCATCTCACAGAGCTGAACCATTCTTTTGATTGAGCAGTTTGGAAGCAGAGTGTTTGTAGAATCTGTGAAGGGATATTTGAATTTGCATGAAGGCTAGTGGTGAAAAAGGAAATATCTTCTGATACAAATTAGACAGATGCTTTCTTAGAGAATAATCTCTAATGTGTGCATTCATCCCACAGAGTTAAGCATTTCTTTTCATTGAGCAGTTTGGAAACTCTGTTGTTCTAGAATCTGCAAAGGGATATTTGGGAGTGCATTGAATCCTACTGTGAAAAAGGAAATATCTTCCAATACAAACTAAAAAAAGAGTTCCTGAGGAACTGCTTTTTGATGTGTGCATTCATCTCACAGAGTTGAACCATTCTTTCATTGAGCAGTTTGGAAACACAGTGTTTGTAGAATCTGTGAAGGGATATTTGGATTCATATGGAGGCCTGTGGTGAAAAATGAAATATCTTCCGATACAAACTAGATAGAAATTTTGTGAGAGACGAATTTGTGAAGTGTGCATTCCTCTCACAGAGTTGAACCATTCTTTTGAAGGAGCAGTTTAGAACCACTGTTTTTGTAGAATCTGCAAAGGGATATTTGGGAGCCCTTTGAGGCCTATGGTGAAAATGTAAATATCTTCATATAATAACTAGAAAGAAGCTTTATGTTAAACTTCCTTGTGATGTGTGAATTCATCTCACAGGGTTAGAATTTTCTTTTCATTCAGCAATTTGGAAACACTGTTTTTGTAGAATCTGTGAAGGGATATTTAGGAGTGCATTGAGGCCTACGGTGAAAAAGTAAACATCTTCAAATAATAATTAGACAGAAGCTTTATGGTAAACCGATTTGTGATGTCTGCTTTCATCACACAGAGTAAAAATTTCTTTTGTTTCAACGGTTTGTAAACACTGCTTTGTCCAATCTGTGAATGGACATTTGGGAGCTCTTTGAGATGAATGGAGGAAAAGTGAATATCCCAGGAAAAAAACTACATGGAAGTAATCTGAGAAACTGATTTGTGATGTATGCATTCATCTCGCATATTTAAACCTTTCTTTTCATTCAGCAGTTTGCAAAACCTTTTTTGTAAAATCTGCAAAGGGATATTTGGGAGACCTTTGAGTCCTACAGTGAAAAAGTCAATATCTTCACATAAAAACCAGAAAGAAGCTTTCTGAGAGACAGCTTTGTGATTTGTGCATTCATCTCACAGAGTTAAACATTTCTTTTGATTCAACAGTTTTGAAACACTATTTTTGTCCATTCTGTGAAGGTATATTTGGTAGCCCATTGAGGCCTATGGTGAAAAAGGAAATATCTTCAAACCATAACTAGATAGAAGCTTTCTGAGGAACTGCTTTGTGATGTGTGTTTTCATCTCACAGAGATAAAGATTCTTTTGTTTCAATAGTTTGGAAACATTGTTTTTGTCCATTCTACCAATGTCCATTTTGGAGATGATTGACTCCAAGGAAAAAAAGTGAATATCCCAGGATAAAAAAGTCAAGGAAGCCAGGTGAGAAACCGCTATGTGATGTATGCATTCATCTTGAGAGTTAAACCTTCCTTTTCATTCAGCTGTTTGGAAACACTGTTTTTGTAGAATCTTGGAAGTGATATTTGGGAGTGCAAGGAGACCTATGGTGAAAAAGAAAATATCTTAAGATAAAAACTAGAAATAAGCTTTCTGAGAAACCGTTCTGTGATGGGTGCATTCATCTCACAGAGGTAAACCTTTCTTTCGATCCAGCACTTTGGAAACACTGATTTTGCAGAATCTGCGAAGGGATATTTTGGAGCGCATTGAGGCCTGCTGTGAAAAAGGAAATATCTTCAAATAAAAACTAGAGAGAAGCTTTCAGAGAAACTGTTTTGTGATGTGTGCATTCATCTCACAGAGATATTCTTTTCTTTTGTTTCAACAATTTTGAAACACTGTTTTTGTCCATTCTGCAATGGGATATTTGGGAGCTATTGAGGCCTATGGTGAAAAAGAAAATATTTTCAGAGAAAAACTAGAACAAGCTTGCTGAGAAACTGCTTTCTGATGTGTGCATTCATCTCCAGAGTTAAATCTTGCTTTTCATTCAGCAGTTTGGAAACACGGTTTTTGTAGATTATGCCATGGGATATCTGGGAGCACATTGAGACCTATGGTGTAGAAGAAAATATCTTAAAACTAGTATGAAGCTTTCTGAGAAACTGTTCTGTGATGTGTGCAATCACCTCACAGTGGTAAATCTCTCTTTTCTAATAGCCATTTGGAAACAGTTTTTGCGGAATCTGTGAAGGGGCATAAGGGATCCCATTGAGTCCTATGAAGAAAAAGTAAATGTCTTCATATAAAATCTTGAAGGAAGCTCTATGACAAACTGCTTTGTGATGTGTGCATTCATCTCACAGAGTTAATTCTTTTTTTGTTTCAAGAGTTTTGTAACACTGTTTTTGTTCATTCTGTGAAGGGATATTTGGGAGCACTTTGAGGTCTATGGTGAAAAAGAAAATATCTTCAAATAAAAACTAGACAGAAGCTTTCTGAGAAACTGCTTCATGATTTGTGCATTCGTCTCACAGAGTTAATCCTTTCTTTTTATTCAACAGCTTTGAAACACTGTTTTTCTCCATTCTGCAAAGGGATATTTGGGAGTTTATTGAGGCATGTGGTGAAAAAGAAAATATCTTCAAATAAAAACTAGAAAGAAGCTTTCTGAGAAACTGCTTTGAGATGTGTGCATTCATCTCTCAGAGTTAAACTTTTCTTTTTCATTCAACACTTTGGAAACACTGTTTTTGTAGAATCTGTGAAGGAATATTTGGGAGTGCTTTGAGACCCATGGTGTAGAAGAAAATATCTTAAGATAAAAAGTAGAAAGAAGCTTTTTGAGAAACTGCTCTGTGATTGATGTATTCACCTCTCAGAGTTAAATCTTTCTTTTGATCCAGTAGCTTGGAAACATTTTTTCTCCATTCTGCGAAGGGATATTTGGGAGCCCATTAAGGCCTGTGGTGAAAAAAAAGTCTTCAAATAAAACTAGAAAGAAGCTTTCTGAGAAACTGTTTTGAGAGGTGTGCATTCATCTCACAGAGCTAAACCTTTCTTTTTCATTGAACACTTTGGAAACACTGTTTTTGTAGAATCTGTGAAGGGATATTTGGGAGTGCATTGTGACCTATGGTGTAGAAGAGAATATCTTAAAATAAAAAGTAGAAATAAGCTTTCTGAGAAACAATTCTGTGATGGGTGCATTCATCTCACAGAGTTAAACCTTTCTTTTGATCCTGCAGTTTGGAAAAACTGTTTTTGTAGAATCTGCAAAGGGATATTTCAGAGCACATTGAGGCCTATGGTGAAAAAGGAAATATCTTCAAATAATAACTACCAAGAAGCTTTCTAAGAAACTTCTTTGTGATGTGTGCTTTCATCTCACAGAGTGAAAACTTTTTTTGTTTGGAAACACTGTTTTCGTCCATTCTGTGAATGGACATTTGGGAGCTCATTGAGGCCAATGGAGGACAAGTGAATATCCCAAGATAAAAACTACAAGTAAGGTATCTGAGAAACTGATTTGTGATGTGTGCATTCATCTTGCAGAGTTAAACCATTCTTTCCATTCAGCAGTTTGGAAAACCTGTTTTTGTAGACCTTGAGAGGGCGTATGTTGGAGCCCATTGAGTCCTATGGTGAAAAAGTAAATATCTTCATATAAAAACTAGAATAAGGCTTTCTGAGAAACTGCTTTGCAATGTGTGCATTCATCTCACAGAGTTAAACCTTTATTTTCATTCAGCAGTTTGGAAAACTGTTTTTGTAGAATCTGCAAAAGGAGATTTCGGAAAGCATTGAGGTCTATGTTGAAAAAGGAAATATCTTCAAATAATAACTAGACAGAAGCTTTCTGAGAAACTGCTTTTTGATATGTTCTTTCATCTCACAGTGTTAAAACCTTCTTTTATTTCAAATGTTTGTAAACACTGTCCTTGTCCATTCTGCCAATGGCTATTTTGGTGATCATTGAGGCCAATGGAGCAAAAGTGAATATCTTGGGATAAAAACTTCAAGGAAGCTATGTGAGAAACTGCTTTGTGATGTGTCCATTCATCTCACAGTGTTGAAACTTTCTTTTCATTCAATAGTTTGGAAACACTGCTTTTGTCCATCGTGTGAGGGAATATTTGGGACTGCATTGAGATCTATGATGAAAAAGTACATATTTTCATATAAAAACTAGAAAGAAGCTTTCTGAGAAACTGCTTTGTGATGTGTACATTTATCTCACAGAGTTAACACTTTCTTTTGATTCAACAGTTTTGAAACACTGTTTTTGTCCATTCTGCAAAGGAATATTTGGGAGTGCATTGAGGCCTATGGTGAAATAGAAAATATCTTGAGATAAAAGCTAGAAAGAAGCTTTCTGAGAAACTGCTTTGTGATGTGTAGTTTCATCTCACAGAGTTAAACGTTTCTTTTCATTCAGTAGTTTGGAAACACTGTTTTTGTCCATTCTGTGAATGGACATTTTGGACCTCATTGAGGCCAATGGAGAAAATGTGAATATCCTAGGATAAAAACATCAAGGAAGCTATCTAAGAAATCAGTTTGTGGTATGTGCATTCATCTCACAGAGTTAAACCTTTCCTTACATTCAGCAGTTTGGAAACACTCTTTTGAGTAATCTGCAAAGGGATATTTTGTAGTGCGTTGAGACCTATGGTGTAGAAGAAAATATTTTAAGATAAAAAGTAGAAAGAAGCTTTCTGAGAAACTATTCCATGATGTGTGCATTCACCTTACAGAGTTAAACCTTTCTTTTGATCCTGCAGTTTGGAAACACTGTTTTTGTAGAATCTGCAAAGGGATATTTCAGAGCACATTGAGGCCTATGGTGAAAAAAGAAATATCTTCAAACCATAACTAGACAGAAGCTTTCTGAGAAACTGCTTTGTGATGTGTGTTTTCATCTCACAGGGTTAAAATTTTCTTCAGTTTCACCAGTTTGGAAACACTGTTTTTGTCCATTCTGTGAATGGACATTTGGGAGCTCATTGAAGCCAATGGAGGAAAAGCAAATATCCCAGGATAAAAACTACAAGGAAGCTAACTGAGAAACTACTTTGTGATGTGTGCCTTTATCTAGCAGAGTTAAACCTTTCTTTCCATTCAGCAGTTTGGAAACACTGTTTTTGTAGAATCTATGAAGGGATATTTGGGAGCCATTTGAGGCCTACGGTGAAAATGTAAATATCTTCATATAAAAACTAGAAAGAAGCTCTCTGATAAACTTCTATGTGATGTATGCATTCATCCCCCAGAGTTAAACCTTACTTTTGATCCAGCAGTTTGGTAACCCTGTTTTTGTAGATTCTGTGAAGGGATATTTTGGAGTGCATTGAGACTTAGGCTGAAAAAGGAAATATCTTCAAATAATAACTAGACAGAAACTTTCTGAGAAACTGATTTGTGATGTGTGCTTTCATCTCACAGAGTTAAAACTTTCTTTTGATTGAACAGTTTGGAAACACTGTTTTTGTCCATTGTGTGAATGGACATATGGGAGCTCATTGAGGCCAGTGGAGGAAAAGAAAATATCCCAGGATAAAACCTACAAGGAAGTTATCTGAGAAATAAATTTGTGATGTGTGCATTCATCTCACAGAGTTAAACATTTCTTTTCATTCAGTTGTTTTGAAGCACATTTTTGTTGAATCTGCAAAGGGATGTTTGGGAGCACTTGGAGATCTTTGGTGAAAAAAAATCTGAAGATAAAAAGTAGAAAGAAAGTTTCTGAGAAACTTCTCTGTGATGGTTTCATTCAACTCACAGAGGTCGAGCAGTTTGGAAACTCTTTTTCTGTAGAATCTCCAAATGTATATTTGGGAGCCCATTGAGGTCTACAGTGAAAAAGTAAATAACTTCTTATAAAAACTAGAAATAATGTTTCTGAGAAACTGCATTGTGATGTGTGCATTCATCTCACAGAGATAAACCTTTCTTTACATTCGGCAGTTTGGCAACACTGTATTTTTAGGATCTGTGAAGGGATATTTCCCAGTGCATTGAGGCCAAGGGTGAAAAAGAAAATATCTTCAGATAAAAAGTAGAAGAAAGCTTTCTGAGAAACTGCCTTGTGATGTGTGCTTTCATCTCTCAGAGTTAAATCGTTATTTTTATTCAGCAGTTTGTAAACATTGTTTTTGTCCATTCTGTGAATGGACATTGGGGAGCTCATTGAGGCCAATGGTGAAATATCAAATTTCCCAGGATAAATACTGGAAGAAAGCTATCTGAGAAAACCACTTTGTGATGTGTGCATTCATCTTGCACAGTTTATACTTTCTTATCATTCAGCCATTTGGAAACACAGTTTTTGTAGAATCTGAGAAGGGATATTTTGGAGCATGTTAAGGCCCATGGTAAAAAAGAAAATATCTTCAGATATAAACTAGAAACGTCCTTTCTGAGAAAGTGCTTTGTGATGTCTGCTTTCATCTCACAGAATTAAATATTTCTTTTCATTCAGTAGTTTGGAAAGACTGTTTTTGTTTATTCTGTGAATGGATATTTGGGAGCTCATTGAGTCCAATGGAGAAAAAGCAAATGTCCCAGGATGAAAACTTCAAGGAATCTATCTGAGAAACCACTTTGTGATGTGAGCATTCACCTCACAGATTTAAACTTTCTTTACCTTAAGCAATTTGGAAACACTGTTTTTGTAGAATTTGTTAAGGAATATTTCAGAGCGCATTGAGGCCTATGTTTAAAAGGAAAATATCTTCAGATAAAAACTAGACAGAACATTTCTGAGAAACTGCTTTGTGATGTGTGCTTTATCTCACAGAGTTAAATATTTCTTTTCATTCAGCAGTTAGAAAGACTGTTTTTGTCCATTTTGAGAATGGACATTTGGGAACACATAGAGGCAAGTGGAGAAAAAGTGAATATCACAGGATAAAAACTTCAAGAACGCTATCTGAGAAACCACTTTGTGATGGGTGCATTAATCTTGGTGATTTAAACCTTTCTTTTGATTCAGCAGTTTGGAAATACTGTTTTTGTCCATTCTGCAAATGGACATTTTGCAGGTGATTGAGGCCAATGGCAAAAAATTGAATATCCCAGGATAAAAACTACTTGAGGATAAAAAGCTACTTGAGAAACTGCTTTGTGATGTGTGCATTCATCTCACAGAGTGAAACATTTCTTTTCATTCAGCAGTTTGGAAACACTGTTTTTGCAGAATGTGTGAAGGGATATTTTGCAGCCTATTGAGACCTATGTTGCAGAAGAAAATATCTTAAGATAAAAAGTAGAAAGGAGGTTTCTGAGAAACTGCTCTGTGATGGGTGCATTGACCTCACAGAGTTAAACCTTTCTTTTGATCCAGCAGTTTGGAAACACTGTTTTTTAGAATCTGCAAAGGGCTCCATTCATCCCACAGAATTAATCCTTTCTTTTGATTCAACAGTTTTGAAACACTTTTTGTCCATTCTGCGAATAGATATTTGGGAGCTCATTGAGGTCAATGGAGAAAAAGGGAATTTCCCAGAATAAAAATTCCATGGAAGCTATCTGAGAAACTGCTTTTTGATGTGTGCATTCATCTTGCAGAGTTAAACCTTTCCTTTCATTCAGCAGTTTGGAAACACTGTTTTTTGAAGAATTTGCAAAGGGGCATTTGGGAGTGCATTGAGACCTGTGGTGAAAAAGAAAATATCTTAAGATAAAAAGTAGGTCGGGGTGTGGTGTCTCAAGCCTGTAATCCCAGCACTTTGGGAGGCCAAGGCAGGCAGATCACGAGTTCAGGAGATAGAGACTATCCTGGCTAACATGGTGAAACCCCGTCTCTACTAAAAATACAAAAAAATTAGCTGGGCGTGGTGGCTGGTGCCTGTAATCTGAGCTACTTGGGAGGCTGAAGCAGGAGAATGGCATGAACCTGGGAGGCAGAGATTGCAGTGAGCTGAGATTTCACCACTGCACTCTAGCCTGGGGGACAGAGTGAGACACCATCTCAAAAAAAAAAGATGAAAAGTAGAAGGAAGCTTTCTGAGAAACTGGTCTGTGATGGGTGCATTCACCTCACAGAGTTAAAAGTTTCTTTCAATTCAGGAGTTTAGAAACACTGTTTATGTCCATTATGTGAATGGATATTTAGTAGTTGATTGAGGCCACTGGCAAAAAATCTAATATCCCAGGATAAACACAGCAACCACCTTGTGATGTGTGCATTCATCTCAAAGAGTTAACCCTTTCTTTTGATTCAACAGTTTGGAAACACTGTTTTTGTAGAATCTGCAAAGGGATATTTTGGAGCATATTTAGGCCCATGGTGAAGAAGAAAGTATCTTCAAATAAAAACTAAAGAAAAGCTTTCTGAGAAACTGCTTCATGATGTGTGATTTCATCTCAAAGAATTAATCATTTCTTTTGATTTAACAGTTTTGAAACACTGTTTTTGTCCATTCTGCAAGCGGATATTTTGGAGCTCATTGAGGTCAACAGAGAAAAAGGAAATATCCCAGGATAAAAACTTGAAGGAAACTATCTGAGAAACCGGTTTGTGATGTGTGCATTCACCTCACAGAGTTAAACCTTTCTTTAGATTCAGCAGTTTGGAAACATCATTTTTGTCCATTCTGTGAATGGACATTTGGTAGCTGATTGAGGCCAATGGCAAAAAAGCTAATATCCCAGGATAAACACTAGAAGGAAGGTATCTGAGAAACTGCTTTGTGATGTGTGCATTCATCTCACAGAGTTAAAAGTTTCCTTTCATTCAGCAGTTTGGAAACACTGTTTTGTAGAATCTGTTAAGGGATATTTTGGAGTGCATTCAGGCCTATGGTGAAAAAGAAAATATCTTCAAATAAAAACTACAAAGAAGCTTTCTGACAAACTGCTCTGTGATGGGTGCATTCACCTCACAGATTTAAACCTTTCTTTTGATCCAGCAGTTTGGAAACACAGTTTTGTAGAATCTGCGAAGTGATATTTCAGAGCCCTTTGAGGCCTATGGTGAAAGAGTAAATATCTTCATATAAAAACTAAAAAGAAGCTTTCTGAGAAACTGCTTTGTCATGTGTGCATTCATCTCACAGAGTTAAATTTTTCTTTTCATTCTGCAGTTTGGAAAAACTGTTTTTCTCCAATTCTGTGACTGGACTTTTAGGAGCTCATTGAGGCCAATGGAGAAAAAGAAAATATCACAGAATAAAAACCACAAGGAAGCTATCTGAGAAACCACTTTGTGATGTGTGCATTCACCTCACAGAGTTGAACCTTTCTTTTCATTCATCAGTTTGGAAATGCTTTTTTTTTGTAGAATCTGCAAAGGGATATTTGGGAGCACATTGAGACCTAAGTTGAAAAAGTAAATATCCTAAGATAAAAATTAGTAAGAAGCTTTCTGAGAAACTACTCGGGGATGGGGATTCACCTCACAGAGTTAAACTTTTCTATTGATGCAGCAGTTTGGAAACACTGTTTTTGTAGAATCTGTGAAGGGATATTTGGGAACCCATTGAGGCCTATGGTAAAAAAGTGAATATCTTCAGATAAAAACTAGAAAGAAGTTTTATGAGAAACTGCTTTGTGATGCGTGCTTCCATCTCAGAGAGTTAAACGTTTATTTTGATTCAAAAGTTTGGGAACACTGCTTTTGTCCATTCTGCCAATGAACATTTGGGAGATCATTGAGGCCAAAGGAGAAAAAGCAAATATCCCAGGATACAAACTACAAGGAAGCCATCTGAGAAACTGCTTTGTGATGTGTGCATTCATCTCCCAGAGTTAAACCTTTCCTTACACTCAGCAGTTTGGAAACCCTGTTTTTGTAGAATCTGCGAAGGGATATTTGGGAGTGCATGGAGACCTACAGTGAAAAAGAAAATATCTTAAGATAAAAACTAGAAAGAAGCTTTCTGAGAAACTGCTCAGTAATGGGTGCATTCACCTCACAGAGGTAAACCTTTCTTTTCATTCAGCAGTTTGGAAACCCCGTTTTTGTCCATTCTGCAAATGGACATTTCGTAGCTGATTGAGGCCAAAGGCAAAAAAGGGGAATATCCCCGGGTAAACACTAGAAGGAAGCTACATGAGAAACCACTTAGAGATGTGTGCATTAAACTCTCAGAGTTAAACATTTCTTTTCACTCAGCAGTATAAAAACATTGCTTTTGTAGAATCTGTGAAGGGATATTTTGGAGCACATTGGGGTCTATGGTGAAAAAGAAAATATCTTCAGATAGAAACTAGCAGGAAGCTTTCTGAGATACTGCTTTGTGATGTATGCTTTCATCTCACAGAGTTAAACATTTCTTTTCATTCAACCTTTTTGAAAGATTGTTTTGGCCCATTCTTGGAATGGACATTTGAGAGCTCATTGAGGCCAAAGGAGAAAAAACAAATATCCCATGATAAAAACTTCAAGAAAGATATCTGAGAAATGGCTTTTTGATGTGTGCATTCATCTCACAGAGTTAAACCTTTCTTTTGATTCTGCAGTTTGCAAACACTGCAGTTTGCAAACACTGTTCTTGTAGAATCCGTGTAGTGATATTTGGGAGCCCATTGAGGCCTATGGTGAAAAAGTAAATATCTTCATATAAAAACTAAAAGGAAGCTTTCTGAGAAACTGCTTTGTGATGTGTGCATTCAACTCACACACTTAAAATTTTCTTTTGATTAAGCAGTTTGGAAACACTGTTTTTGTCCATTCTGTGACTGGACTTTTGGGAGCTCATTGAGGCCAATGGAGAGAAAGTGAATATCACTGGATAAAAACTTCATGGAAGCTATCTGAGAAACTGCTTTGTGATGTGTGTATTCATCTTGCACAGTTAAACCTTTCTTTGCATTCAGCAGTTTGGAAACCCTGTTTTTGTAGAATCTGTGAAGGGATATTTCAGAGTGTATTGATTCCTAAGGTGAAAAAAAAACTTCAGATAAAAAGTAGAAGGAAGCTTTCTGACAAACTGCATTGTGATGTGTGCTTTCATCTCACAGAGTTAAACTTTTTTTTTTTTATTCAGCAGTTTTGTAACACTATATTTGTCCATTCTGTGAATTGACATTTGGGAGCTCATTTAGGACAATGGAGAAAAAGGGAATATCGCAGAATAAAAAATACAAGGAAGCTATCTGAAAAACCACTTTGTGATGTGTGCATTCATCTTACAGAGCTAAATGGATCCTTTCATTCAGCTGTTTGGAAACACTGTTTTCATAGAATCTTTGAAGGGATATTTGGGAGCATGTTGAGAACTATGGTTAAAAAGAAAATATCGTCAGATAAAAAGTAGAGAGAAAATTTCTGAGAAACCACTCTCTAATGTATGCATTCACCTCACAGAATTAAACCTTTAATTAATTAATCCAGCAGTTTGGAAACACTGTTTTTGCAGAATATGTGTGGGGATATTTGGATGCCCATTGAGGCCTAGGGTGAAAAAGGGAATATCTTCATATAAAAACTAGAAAGAATCTTTCTGAGAAACTGCTTTGTGATGTGTGCATTCATCTCACAGAGTTAAACCTTTCTTTTGATCCAGCAGTTTGGAAACACTGTTTTTGTAGGATCTGTGAAGGGTTATTTTGGAGTGTATTGAGGCCTATGGTGGAAAAGAAAATATCTTCAAATAAAAACTAGAGAGCAGCTTTCTGAGAACTGCTTTGTGATGTGTGCTTTCATCTCACAGAGTTAAACCTTTCTTTGGATTCAACACTTTGGAAACACTGTTTTTGTCCATTCTGCCAATGGGCATTTGGGAGCTCATTGAGGCCAATGGAGAAAAAGTGAATATCCCAGGATAAAAACTTCAAGGAAGGTACCTGAGAAACCACTTTGTGATGTTTGCATTCATCTCACAGAGTCAAACATTTCCTTGCAATCAGCAGTTTTGAAACACTGTTTTTGTACAATCTTGGAAGTGATATTTGGGAGTGCATGGAGATCTATGGTGAAAAAGAAAATATCTTAAGATAAAAACTAGAAATAAGCTTTCTGAGAAACCATTCTGTGATGAGTGTATTCATCTCACAGAGGTAAACATTTCTTTTGATTCAGCAGTTTTGAAACACTGTTTTTGCCTATTCTGTGAATGGACATTTTGTAGCTGATTGAGGCCAATGACAAAAAAACAAATGTCCCAGGGTAACAACTAGAAGGAAGCTACATGAGAAACTGCTTTGAGATGTGTGTATTTATCTCACAGCGTTAGATGTTTCTTTTCATTCAGTGATTTGGAAACACAGTTTTTGTAGAATCTGCAAAGGGATATTTTGGAGCACTTTGGGGCCCATGGTGAAAAAGAAACCATCTTTAGACAAAAACTAGAAAGAGCATTCCTGAGAAACTGCTTTGTGATGTGTGCTTTCATCTCAGAGTTAAATATTTCTTTTCATTCAGCAGTTTGGAAAGACTGCCTTGTCCATTCTGCCAATGGACATTTTGGAGCTCATTGAGGCCAATGGAGAAAAAGCGAATATCCCAGGATAAAAACATCAAGTAAGCTATCTGAGAAACCACTTTGTGATGTGTGCATTCATCTCACAGAATGAAACCTTTCTTTAAGTTCAGCAGTTTGGAAACTCTGTTTTTGTTTAATCTGTTTAGGGGTATTTTGGAGTGCACTGAGGCCTATGGTTAAAAAGAAAATATGTTCAGATAAAAACTAGAAAGAAGCTTTCTGAGAAACTGATTTGTGATGTGTGCTTTCATCTCACAGAGTTAAACATTTCTTTTCATTCTGTGCTTTGAAAGTCTGTTTTTGTCCATTCTGTGAATGGACATTAGGGCGCTCATTGAGGCCAAAGGAGAGAAAGTGAATATCACTGGTTAAAAACTTCAAGGAAGCTATATGAAAAACTGCTTTGTGATGTGTGCATTCATCTTGCAGAGTTAAACCATTGCATTCATTCAGCAGTTTGGAAACACTGTTTTTTTAGAATCTGTGAAGGGATATTTGGGAGCACATTGAGACCTATGGTGAAAAAAATCTGAAGATAAAAAGTAGAAAGAAGCTTTCTGAGAAACTGCTCTGTGATGGGTGCATTCACCTCACATATTCATAGCTTTCTTTGGTCCAGCAGTTTGGAAACACTGTTTTTGTAGGATCTGCAAAGGGATATTTTGGAGCACATTGGGGCATATGGTGAAAAAGAAAATATCTTCAAATAAAACCTAGACAGAAAGTTTCTGAGAAACTGCTTTGTGGTATGTGCTTTCATCTCACAGAGTTATACATTTCTTTTGTTTCAACAGTTTGGAAACACTGCTTTTGTCCATTCTACTAATGGAAATTTGGGACATCTTTGAGGCCAGTGTGGAAAAAGCAAATATCCCAAGATGAAGACTTCAAGGAAGCTATCTGAGATACCACTTTGTGATATGTGCATTCATCTCCCAGAGTTAAACCTCTACTTACATTCAGCAGTTTGGAAACACTTTTTTTGTAGAATCTGTGAAGGGATATTGGGGAGTGCATGGAGACCTATGGTGAAAAAGAAAATATGTTAAGACAAAAAAACTAGAAAGAAGCTTTCTGAAAAACTGCTCTGTGATAGGTGCATTCGCCTCACAGAGTTAAACCTTTCTTTTGATTCAGCAATTTGGAAACACTCTTTTTGTCCATTCTGCGAATGGACATTTTGTACGTGATTGAGGCCAAAGGCAAAAAAGGGAATATCCCAGGGTAAAAACTCGAAGGAAGCTACATGAGAAAACGCTTTGAGATGTGTGCATTCATCTATCAGAGTTAAACAATTCTTTTCATTCAGACGTTTGGAAGCACTGCTTTTGTAGGATCTGGGAAGGGATATTTCAGAGCGAATTGGAGCCTATGATGATAAAAGAATTATCTTCAAACAAAAACTAGACAGAAGAACTGTGAGAAACTGCTTTGTGCTATGGGCTATCATCTCACAGAGTTAAACCTTTCTTTTAAATCAACAGTTTTGAAACAGTGTTTTTGACCATTCTGTGAAAGGACATTTGGGAGCTTATTGAGGGCAGTGGAGAAAAAGCAAATATCCCAGGTTAAAAACTACAAGGAAACTATCTGAGAAACTGCTTTGTGATGTGTGCATTCATCTCACAGAGTTAAACCATTCTTTTCATTCAGCAGTTTGAAAACACTGTTTTTGTAGTATCTACAAAGGGATATTTGGGAGCCCATTGGGGCCTATGGTGAAAATGTAAATATCTTCATATAAAAACTACAAAGAATCTTTCTGGGAAACTCCTTTGTGATGTGTGCATCCATCTCAGAGAGTTAAACTTTTCTTTTGATTCAGCAGTTTGGAAACACTGTTTTTGTCCATTCTGTGAATGGACATTTGGGAGCTCATTGAGGCCAATGGTGAGAAATTGAATATCCCAGGAGAAACACTAGAAGGAAGCTACCTGAGAAAATGCTTTGTGATGTGTGCATTCCTCTCACAGAGTTAATCCTTTCTTCTCATTCAGAAGTTTGGAAACACTGTTTTTTTAAGAATCTGATAAGGGATATTTCAGAGTGCATTGACGCCTATGGTGAAAAAGAAAATATCTTCAGATAAAAACTAGAAAGAAGCTTTCTGGCAAACTGTTTTGTCATGTGTGCATTCATCTCACAGAGCTAAACCTTTCTTTTGATTCAATCACTTGGAAACACTGTTTTTGTCCCTTCTGTGCATGGGCATTTGGGAGCTCATTGAGGCCAGTGGAGAAAAAGTGAATATCCCAGGATAAACACTATAAGGAAGCTATTTGAGAAACCACTTTGTGATGTGTGCATTCATCTCACACAGTTAAACATTTCTATTCATTCAGCAGTTTTGAAACACTGTTTTTGTAGCATCTCCAAAGTGTATTTGGGGGCAGACTGAGACCTATGGTGAAAAAGAAAATATCTTAAGTAAAAAGTAGAAAGAAGCTTTCTGAGAAACTACTTTGTGATATGTGCATTCGTCTCACAGAGTTTAACCTTTCTTTTGATCCAGGAGTTTGGAAACACTGTTTTTGTAGAATCTGTGAAGGGATATTTCAGAGTGCATTCAGTCCTAAGGTGAAAGAGGAAATATCTTCAAATGATAACCAGACAGAAGCTTTCTGAGAATCTGCTTTGTCATGTATGCATTCATCTCACAGAGTTAAACCTTTGTTTTGATCCAGTAGTTTGAGACCACTCTTTTTCTAGAACCTGCCAAGGGATATTTCAGAGTGTATTGAGGCCTATGGTGAAAAAGAAAATATCTTCAAATAAAAAATAGAAACTTTCAGAGAAACTGCTTTGTGATGGTGGCTTTCATCACACAGAGTTAAAACTTTCTTTTGATTCAGCAGTTTGAGAACACTCTTTTTGTCCATTCTGCAAATGGACATTTGGGAGATCATTGAGGCTAATGACAAAAAATAGAATATCCGAGGGTAAACACTAGAAGGAAGCTATCTGAGAAACAACTCTGTGATGTGTGCATTCATCTCACAGAGTTAAACCTTTCTTTTCATTCAGCAGTTTGGAAATACTGTTTTTGTAGAATCTGCGAAGGAATATTTCATAGCACATTGAGGCCTATGGTGAAAAGGAAAATGTCTTAAGGTAAAAAGTAGAAAGAAACTTTCTGAGAAACTGCTCTGTGATGGGTGCATTCACCTCACAGAGTTAAACTTTTTTTGTAGAATCCGTGAAGGGATATTTTGGAGTGCTTTGAAGCATATGATGAAAAAGAAAATATCTTCTGACAAAAACTAGAAAGAAGCTTTCTGAGAAACTGCTTTGTTATTTGTGTTTTCATCTCACAGAGTTAAAACTTTCTTTGGATTGTGCAGTTTGGCAATACTGTTTTTGTCCATTCTGTGAATGGAAATTTGGGAGCTCATTGAGGCCAAAGGAGGAAAAGTAAATATCCTAGGATTAAAAACTCCAAAGAAGCTATCTGAGAAACTGCTTTGTGATGTGTGAATTCATCTCTCATAGTTAATCCTTTCTTCTCATTCAGCAGTTTGGAAACACCACTATTTTTGTAGAATCTGTTAAGGTTTATTTTGGAGTGCTTTGAGATCTATGATGAAAAAGAAAATATCTTAAGACAAAAAGTAGAAAGACGCTTTCTGAGAAACTGCTCTGTGATGTTTGCTTTCATCTCACAGAGTTAAACCTTTCTCTTGATTCAGCAGTTTGGAAATACTGTTTTTGTCCATCCTGCAAATGGACATTTGGCAGCTCATTGAGCCAATGGCAAAAAATCGAATATCCCAGGATAAATACTAGAAGGAAGCTATGTGAGAAATTGCTTTGTGATGTGTGCATTCATCTCACAGAGTTAATCCTTTCTTCTCACTCGGAAGTTTGGAAACACTGTTTTTGTAGAAACTTTGAAGGGATATTTGGAAGTACATTGAGGCCTAAGGTGAAAAGGAAAATAGCTTCAGATAAAAAGCAGGAAAAAGCTTTCTGAGAAGCTGCTTTGTGATGTATGCATTCATGTCACAGAGATGAAACTTTCTTTTGATTCAGCAGTTTCAAAACATTCTTTTTGTCTTTTCTGTGGATGGTCACTTGGGAGCTCATTGAGGCCAATGGTGAAAAAGTGAATATCCCAGGATAAAAACTACAAAGAAACTGTTTGAGAAAATGCTTTTTGGTGTATGCATTCATCTGGCTGACTAAAACCTCTATTTCATTCAGCAATTTGGAAGCATTTTTTTTTGTATAATCTGTGAAGGGATAGTTAGGAGCACATGGAGGCCTATGGTGAAAGATAAAATATCTTCAGCTGAAAATAAGAAAGAAGGTTTCTGAGACACTGATTTGTGATGTGTGCATTCACCTCACAGAGTTAAACCTTCCTTTTGATTCAGAGGTTGGAGACACTGTATTTGTCCATTCTGCAAATGGAAATTTGGGAGCTCTTGAGGCCAATGGTGAAAAGGTGAATATCCCAGGAAAAAAAAACCTGAAGGAAATTATCTGAGAAACAGGTTTTGATATGTGCATTCATCTCACAGAATTAAATGTTTCTTTTCACTCAGCAGTTTGGAAACACCGTTTTTGTAGAAACTGCAAAGGGATATTTGGGAGCTCATTGAGGTCGATGGTGAAAAAGAAATTATCTTCAAATTAAAAGTAGAAAGAAGCTTTCTTTGAAACTGCTTTGTGTTGTGTGCCTTCATCTCACAGAGTAAACCTTTCTTTTAATTCAGCAGTTTGGAAACACTGTTTTTGTTCTTTCTGAAAATGGACATTTGGGAGCTCATTGAGGCCAATGGTGAAAAAGCGAATATCCCAGGGTGAAACCAGAAGGAAACTATCTCAGAAACCACTTTGTATTGAGTGCATTCATCTCACAGAGTGAAACGTTTCTTTTCATTCAGCAATTTGGAACCTGTTTTTGTAGAATCTTAGAAGGGATGTTTGGGAGTGCATTGAGGCCTATGGTGAAAAAGAAAATAACTTCAGGTAAAACTAGAATGAAGCTTTCTGAGAAACTGCTTTGTGATGTGGGCATTCATCTCACAGAGTTAAAGCTTTCTTTGATTCAGCAGTTTGGAAATACTGGTTTAGTCCTTTCTGAGAATGGACATTCGTGAGCTCACTGAAGCAAATGGCAAAAAAGTGAGTATCCCAGGACAAAAACTAGAAGGGAGCTATCTGAGAAACAACTTTTTGATGTGTGCATTTATCTCCCAGAGTTAAACCTTTCTTTACATTCAATAGTTTTGAAAAACTGTTTTTGTGGAATCTGAGAAGGAATATTTGGGAGTGCTTTGAGGCCCATGGTGAAAAAGAAAATATCTTCAGATAAAAACTAGAAAGAAGCTTTCTGTGAAACTTCTCTGTGATGTGTGCATTCATCTCACAGAGTTAAACCTTCTTTTTGATTCAGCAGTTTAGAAACACTGTTTATGTGCATTCTGCAAATGGAAATTTGGGAGCTCATTCAGGCCAATGGCAAAAAGGTAAATAACCCAGGATAAAAACTTGAAGGAAGCTATTTGAGGATCTGCTTTGTGATGTGGGCATTCATCTCACAGACTTTCTTAACTTTCTTTTAATTCAGCTGTTTGGAAACACTGTTTTTGTAGTATGTGTGAACAGATATTTGGGAGAGCTTTGAGGTCTATGGTGAATAAGAAAATAACTTCAGATAAAAAGTATAAGGAAGCTTTCTGAGAAACTGCTTTGTGATGTGTGCATTCATTTCAGAAAGGGAAAACTTTCTTTTGAGTCAGCAGTTGGGAAACACTATTTTTGTCAATTCTGCAACTGGACATTTGGGAGCTCATTGAGGCCAATGGTGAAAACATGAATACCCCATGATAAAAACTAAATGGAAGCTATCTGAGAAACCATTTTGTGAGGTGTGCATTTATCTCAAAGAGTTAAACCTTTTTTTTTTCATTCAGTAGTTTGGAAACACTGAGTTTGTAGGATCGGTGAGGGACATTTAGGAGTATTTTGTGGCCTGTGGTGAAAAAGAAAATATCTTCAGATAAAAAACAGAAAGAAGCTTTCCGAGAAACTGCTTTGTGATGTGTGCATTCATCTCACAGAGTTAAACCTTCATTTTGATTCAGCAGTTTGGAAATACTGTGTTTTTCCATTTTGTGAATGAAAATTTGGGAGCTCATTGAAGAAAATGGTGATAACATTAATATCCCAGGATAAAGACTGGAAGAAAGCTATCTGAGAAACTGCTTTGTGATATGTGCATTCATCTCACAGAGTTAAACCTGTCTTTTCATTCAGCAGTTTGGAAACACTGTTTTTGTAGAAACTGGAAAGGTGTATTTGGGAGTTCATTGAGGTTTATGGTGAAAAAGAAATTATCTTCTCATAAAAAGTAGAAAGAAGCTTTCTCGGAAACTGCTTTGTGATGTGTGCATTCATCTCACAGAGATAAACCTTTCTTTTCATTCAGCAGTTTGGAAACACTTGTTTTGTTCTTTCTGCAAATGGACATTTTGGAGATTATTGAGTCCAATGGTGAGAAAACAAATATCCCAGGATAAAAAGCAGAAGGAAGGTGTCTGAGAAACTGCTTTGTGATGTGTGCATTCATCTCGCATAGTTAAATCTTTCTTTTCTTTCAGCAGTTTGGAAACACTGTTTTTGTAGAATTTGTGAAGGGATATTAGGGAGTGTCTTGAGGTCCATGGTGAACAAGAAAATAACCTCTGATAAAAGGTAGAAGGAAGCTTTCAGAGAAACTGATTTATGAGGTGTCAATTCATCTCCCAGAGTTAAACCTTTCTTTTGATTCAGCATTTTGGAAACCCGTTTTTGTCCATTCTGTGAATGGACATTTGGGAACTCTTTGAGGCCAAAGGCGTAAAAGGGAATATCTCAGGATAAAAACTAGAAGGAAGCTATGGGAGAAACTGCTTTGTGATGTGTGCATTCATCTCACAGAGTTATACATTCCTTTTCATTGAGCAGTTTGGAAACTCTTTTTGTAGAATCTTTGAAGGGATTTTTGGGAGTGCATTGAGGTCTAGCAAAGAAAATATCTAAGAAAATATCATTTGATAAAGAATAAAAAGAAGCTTCCTGAGGAACTGCATTGTGATGTGTGTATTCATCTCACAGAGTTAAACCTTTCTTTTGTTTCAGTAGTTTGGAAACACTATTTTTATCCTTTTGGTTAATGGACATTTTGGAGTTCATTGAGGGCAATGGAGGAAATGTAAATATCCCAGGATAAAAACTAGAAGGAAGATAACTGAGAAACTGCTTTTTGATGTGTGCATTCATCTCACAGACTTAAACCTTTGTTTTCATTCAGCTACTCGGAGTCACTGTTTTTGTAGGATCTGCAATGGGATACTTGGGAGTTCATGGAGGCCTATGTTAAAAAAAGAAAATATCTTCATATAAAAAGTAGAAAGAAGCCCTCTGAGAAACTGCATTGTGATGTGTGCATTCATGTCTCACTGTTAAATCTTTCTTTTGATTCAGCAGTTTGGAAACACTGTTTTTGTCCTTTCTGTGGATGGTCATTTGGAAGCTCATTGAGGCCAGTGGCAAAAAAGTGATTATCTTAAGATAAAAACTAGAAGAAGGATATCTTAGAAAATGCTGTGTGATGTGTGCATTCATCTCACATGGTTGAACCTTTCTTTTCACTAAGCAGGTTGGAACACTTTTTTTGTAGAATCTGCAAACGGACATTTGAAAGCGCATTGAGTCCTATGGGGAAAAAGGAAATATCTTCAGATAAAAACTAGAAAGAAGCTTTCCGAGAAACTGCTTTGTTCTGTTTGCTTTCATCTCCCAAAATTAAACCTTTGTTTTGGTTCAGCAGTTTGGAAACACTGTTTTTGTCTATTCTGTGAATGGACATTTTGGAGCTAATTGAGAGCTAAGGTGAAAAAGCAAATATCCCAGGATAAAAACTAGAAGGAAGCTCTCTGAGAAATGGCTACGTGATGTGCTCACCCATCTCACAGAGTTAAAACTTTCTTTTCATTCAGTAGTTTGGAAACACTGTTTTTGTAGAATCTGTGAAAGGATATTTTGGAGCACATTGAGGCCCATGCTGAAAAAGAAAATATCTTGAGATGAAAACCAGAAGAAAAAAACAAACAATCCCATCAAAAAGTGGGCGAAGAATATGAACAGACACTTCTCAAAAGAAGACATTTATGCAGCCAAAAAACACATGAAAAATGCTCATCATCACTGGCCATCAGAGAAATGCAAATCAAAACCACAATGAGATATCATCTCACACCAGTTAGAATGGTGATCATTAAAAAGTCAGGAAACAACCAGTGCTGGAGAGGATGTGGAGAAATAGGAACACTTTTACACTGTTGGTGGGACTGTAAACTAGTTCAACCATTGTGGAAGTCAGTGTGGTGATTCCTCAGGGATCTAGAACTAGAAATACCATTTGACCCAGCCATCCCATTACTGGGTATATACCCAAAGGATTATAAATCATGTTGCTATAAAGACACATACACACGTATGCTTATAGTGGCACTATTCACAATAGCAAGGACCTGGAACCGACCTAAATATCCAACAATGAGAGACTGGATTAAGAAAATGTGACACATATACACCATGGAATACTATGCAGCCATAAAAAATGATGAGTTCATGTCCTTTGTAGAGACATGGATGAATCTGGAAACCATAATTCTCAGCAAACTATCACAGGGACAAAAAACCAAACACCACATGTTCTCACTCATAGGTGAGAACTGAACAATGAGAACACATGGACACAGAAAGGGGAACATCACACACTGGGGACTGTTGTGGGGTTGGGGGAGGGGGAGGGATAGCATTAGGAGATATACCTAATGCTAAATGATGACTTAATGGGTGCAGCACACCAACATGGCACATGTATACATATGTAACAAAACTGCACGTTGTGCACATGTACCCTAAAACTTAAAGTATAATAATAATAAAATTAAAAAAAGAACCTTTCTGAGAAACTGCTTTGTGATGTGCACATTTATCTCCAGAGTTAAACTTTTCTTTTGATTCACGGGTAAGGAAACACTGTTTTTGTAGAATCTGCTAAGGGATATTTGGAAGCCCATTGAGGCATATGGTGAAGAAGTAAATATCTTCATAGAAAAACTAGAAAGAAGCTTTCTGAGAAGCTGCTTTGTGATGTGTGCATTCATCTGAAAGAGTTAAACCTTTCTTGTATTTCAACAGTTTTGAAACACAATGTTTGTCCATTCTGTGAAGGGATATTTGGCAGCTCTTTGAGGCCAATGGTGAAAAAGGGAATATCCCAGGATAAATACTATAAGGAAGCTATATGAGAAACAGCTTTGTGATGTTTGCATTCACCTCACATAGTTAAACCTTTCTTTTGATTCAGCAGTTTGCAAGCACTCTTTTTGTCCATTCTGTGAATGGACATTTAGGAGCTCATTGAGGCCAAAGGTGAAAAAGCGAATATCCCAATATAAAATCTAGAAGGAGGATATCTGAGACTGCTTTGTGATGTGTGCATTCATCTTGCACCATTAAAACTTTCTATTCATGCAGCAGTTTGAAACCACTGTTTTTGAAGAACCTGTTATTGACATTTTTAAGCACATTTAGGCCTATGGTAAAAGAGAAAATACATTCAGATAAAGACTAGAAAGAAGCTTTCCAAGAGACTGCTTTGTGATGTGTGCATTAATCTCAAAGAGTTAAACCTTTATTTTGTTTCTGCAGTTTGGAAACACTGTTTTTGTCCATTCTGCAAAAGGACGTGTTGGAGCTTATTGAGTACAAGGGTGAAAATGCAAATATCCCAAGATAAAAACTAGAAGGATGCTATCTGAGAAATGGCTTTGTGATGTGTGCTTTCATCTAGCAGAGTTCAAACTTTCTTTTCATTCAGCAGTTTGGAAACACTGTTTTTGTAGTATCTGTGAAGGTATAGTGGGAGTGCATTGAGTCCTACGGTGAAAAAGAAAATATCTTCAGATGAAAACCAGAAAGAAGCTTTCTGAGAAAGTGCTTTGTGATGTGTGGATTTATAGAGTTAAACCTTTGTTTTGATTCAGCAGTTTGGAAATACTGTTTTTGTCCATTCTACAAATGGACATCTGGGAGCTCATTGAGGCCTATGGTGAATACGGGAATACCCCAGGATAAAAACGAGAAGGAAGCTATCTGAGAAACGGCTTTGTGAGGTGCTCATTGATCTTGCAGAGTTAAACTTTCCTTTTCATTCAATAGCTTGGAAACACTGTTTGTGTAGAATCTGCTATGGGATATTTGGGAGTGCATTGAGGCCTATGGTGAAAAGGAAAATATCTTCAGATAAAAACTAGAATCTTCCTGAGAAACTGCTTCTTGATGTGTGCATTGATCTCACAGATCTTAACATTTCTTTTGATTCAGTAGTTTGGAAATCTGTTATTGTCCATTCTGCAAATAAACATTTGGGAGCTCATTGAGGCCAATGGTGAAAAAGTGAATAACCCAGGATGAAAACTAGAAGGAATCTATCTGAGAAACTGCTTTGTGTTGTGTGCATTCATCTCACTGAGTTAAACCTTTCTTTTCATTCAGCAGTTGGAAACACTGTTTTTGTCCATTCTGTGAATGGACACTTGGGAGCTCATTGAGGCCAGTGGTGAAAAAGCAAATATCCCAGGAAGAAAACAAGAAGGAATCTATCTGAGAAACAGCTTTGTGATGTGTATATTCATCTCACAGAGTTAAACCTTTCTTTTCATTCAGCAGTTTGGTAACACTGTTTTTGTAGAGTCTGCGAAGTTGGGAGTGCATTGAGGCCTATGGTGAAAAAGAAAATATTTTCAGATAAAAAATTGAAAGAAGCTTTCTGAGAAACTGGTTTCTGAAGTGGGGATTCATCTCACAGAGTTAAAACTTTCTTTTGATTCAGCCCTTTGGAAACACTGTTTTTGTCCTTTATGGAAATGGACATTTGGGAGCTTATTGAGGCCAATTGTGGGCCACAAGGCACCCAGGTGCCGAGGCAAGAGACCAAGGGCATGGGCTGTTCCAGTATAATTAAATATATAAAATAAAAATAGTTATACTAGATATAGATCATAGATGCAATTATATATGAATATCATTAATCATTAGTTTGTAGCAATTACTCTTTATTCCAATATTATAATAATCCTCACTCTACAATCATAACTTAAGTAAAACCAGACCATACAGAGATAGGAGCTGAAGGGACACAGGGAGAGGTGACCAGAACACAAGAGTGTGAGCCTTCTGATATTCCCGGACAGGGCCAGCAGAGGGATCCTTCATCTAGCACTAACGCCAGCATCTGGGAAGACGCCTGTTGCCAAGCAGACCATGGTCTAGTGGTAGAGTCAGTGCCAAGTAAAAGTACCCACTACTTAGCAGACTGGAAAAGGGAGTCTGCCTTTCCCTGGGGTAGTTTAGAGAAGACTCTACATCCCCAAGTTTTGTGGAGGGCCTGACATCAGTCAGGCATGCCTGCAGCTATCCAGAGGCCTAACAGTCTCCCTGTGATGTTATGCTTCAGTGGTCATGCTCCTAGTCTGCTTTCATGTTCCATCCTGTACACCTGCCTCTGCCTTTTAGATAGCAGTAGAAAAATTAGTGAAAACACTAAAAGTCTCTGATATGAAGAAATAATGTTGTCAGCTATCTCCTCTCTCTCCACCTCGGCTGGCTGCCAAAAAGGGAAGGGCCCCCTCTCCAGTGGACAAGTGACCCACCTGACCTTACCTATCATTGGAGATGGCTCACACTGCTTAGCCTGCCCTTTTGTTTTGTATCCAATAAATATCAGCACAGCCTGGCATTTGGGGCCACTACTGGTCTCTGTCTCTTGGTGTTAGTGGTCCCCCAGGCCAGGCAGTCTTTTTTTTATCTCTTTGTCTTGTGTCTTTATTTCTACAATTTCTCATCTCCACACAGAGGGAGACACACCGACCCTGTGGGCCTGGACCCTAGAGCCAATGGTGAAAAAGCCAATATCCCAGGATAAAAACTAGAAGGAAAGTATCTGAGAAACTGCTTTGTGATGTGTGCATTCATGTCTCAGAGTTAAACCTTTCTATTCATTCAGCAGTTTGCAAACACTGTTTTTGTGGAATCTGCGAAGGGATATTTGGGATCGCATTGAGGCCTATGGTGCAAAAGAAAATATCTTCACATAAAAACTAGAAAGAAGCTTTCTGAGAAACTGCTTTGTGATGTGTGCATTCATCTTACAGAGTTAAACCTTTCTTTAGATCTAGCAGTTTGGAAACACTGTTTTTGTATGTTCTGCAAATGGATATTTGGGAGCTCATTGAGGCCAATGGCAAAAAAGTGAATATCCCACGATAAAAACCAGAAAGGAGCTATATGAGAAACCGCTTTGTGATATGTGCATTCACCTCACAGAGTTAAGCCATTCTTTTCATTCAGAAGTTTGGAAACACTGTTTTTGTAGAATCTGCTAAGGGATATTTGGGATTGCATTGAGGCCTATGGTGAAAATGAAAATATCTTCAGATAAAAAATCAAAAGAAGCTTTCTGAGAAACTGCTTTTTGATGTGTGGATTCATCTCACAGTTAAACCTTTCTGCTGATTCAGCACTTTGGAAACACTGTTTTTGTCCTTTATGTGAATAGAAATTTGGGAGCTCATTGAGGCCAATTGTGGGCAGCAAGGCAGCCAAGTCCGAGGCAAGAGACCAAGGGCACGAGCTGTTCCAGTATAATTAAATATATAAAATAAGAACAGTTATAGTAGATATAGATCATACATATGATTATATGTGAATATCATTAATCATTACTTTTTAGCAATTACTCTATATTCCAATATTATAATAATCATCACTCTACAATCATAACCTAAGAAAGAACAGGCCATACAAAGATAGAAGCTGAAGGGACATAGTGAGAGGTGAGAGGTGACTAGAACTACTGAATCAAAAGGAAGGTTTAAGTCTGTGAGATGAATGCATGCAACACAAACCACCTTCTCAGAAATCTTCTTTCTACTTCTTATCTGAAGATATTTTCTTTTTCACCATAGGCCTCAATGTGCTCCCAAATAGCCCTTTGCAGGTTGTACAAACACAGTGTTTTCAAACTGCGGAATGAAAAGAAGGGTATAACTCTGCGAGATGAATGCACACATCACAAAGTGGTTTCTCATATAGCTTCCTTCCAGTTTTTATCCTGGGATATTCACTTTTTTGCCATTGGCCTCAATGAGCTCCCAAATGTCCATTAGCAGAATGGACAAAAACAATGTTTCCCAACTGCTGAATGAAAAGAAAAGTTTAACTCTTTGAGATTAATGCACACAACACAAATCAATTTCTCAGAAAGCTTCTTTCTAGTTTTTATCTGAAAGTATTTTCTTTTTCATCTTCATCCTCAAAGCACTCCCAAATATCCCTTCGCATATTCCATGAAAACAGTGTTTCCAAACTGCTGAATTAAAACAAAAGTTTAAATCTGCGAGATGAATGCACTCATCACAAAGCAGTTTCTCAGGTAGCATTCTTCTAGTTTTAATCCTGGGATAGTCACTTTTTCACCATTGGTCTCAATGATATCTCAAATGTCCATTCACAGAGTGGACAAAAAGAGTGTTTCCAAATTGCTAAATCAAAAGAAAGTTTTTAATCTGTGAGATGAATGCACACATTACAAGGCAGTTTCTCAGAAAGACTTCACTTTTTCTCTGAAGATGTTTTCTTATTCGCCATAGGCCTCAAAGTGCTCCCAAGTATCCCTTCACAGATCCTACAAAAAGACTTTATCTAAACTGCTGAATGAAAAGAATGGTTTAACTCTGTGAGATGAATGCATACATCACAAAGCAGTTTCTCAGATAGCTTCCTTCTAGTTTTTATTCTGGAATATTCACTTTTTCGCCATTGGCTTCAGTGAGCTCTGAAATATCCATTCACAGAATGGGCAAAAAGAGTGTTTCCAAACTGCTGAATCAAAAGAAAGGTTTAACTGTATGAGATGAATGGGCACATCAAAAAGTAGAATATCAGAATGTTCTTTCTAGTTTTTATCGGAAATATTTTATTTTTCACCATAGGCCTCGATACACTCCCAAATATCTCTTTGAGGATTCTGCAAAAACAGTGTTTACAAACTGCTTAATGAAAAAGAAAGGTTTAACTCTGCGAATTGAATGCACACATCGGAAAGTGGTTACTCAGAGAGCTTCCTTCTAGTTTTTATCCTGTGGTATTCACTTTTTCACTATTGACCTCAATGACCTCCCAATGTCCATTTGCAGAATGGACAAAAAGTGTTTTGAAACAGCTGAATCAAATGAAAGGTTAAACTCTTTGAGATGAATGCACACATAACAAAGCAGTTTCACAGAAGCTTCTTTCTACTTTTTATATGAAGATATTTTATTTTACACCTTAGGCCTTAATGTGCTCCCAAATTTCCCTTTACAGATTCTGCAAGAAAAGTGTTTCCAAACTGCTGAATGAAAAGAAAGGTTTAAATATGCAAGATGAATGCACACATCACAAAGGGGTTTCTCAGATAGCTTCCTTCTAGTTTTATCCTGGGATATTCACTTTTTTGCCATTGGCCTCAATGACCTTCCAAATGTCCATTTGCAGAATTCACAAAAACAGTGTTTCCCAACTTCTGAATCAAAAGAAAATTTTAACCCTGGGAGATGAATGCACACATCAAAAGCTGTTCTTCAGAAAGCTTCTTTCTACTGTTTATCTGCAGATATTTTCTTTTGCACCATAGAACTCAATGACCTCCAAAATATGCCTTCACAGGTTCTACAAAAACAGTATTTCCAACCTACTGAGTGAGAAAAAAGGTTTAACTCTGTGAGATGAATGCACACATCAGAAAGCTTTTTGTCAGATAGATTCCTTCTAGTTTTTATCCTGGGATATTCACTTTTTTGCCATTGGCATTAGTGACCTCCGAAATGTCCACTCTCAGAAAGGACAAAAACACTGTTTCCAAGCTGCTGAGTCTAAAGAAAAGTGTAACTGTTTTAGATGAATGCACACATCACAAAGCAGTCTCACAGATAGTTCCTTTCTACTTTTTATCTGATGATATTTACTTTTCACCATCGACCTCAATGCACTCCAATATATCCCTTTGCAGATTCTACAAAACAGTGTTTCCAAACTGCTGAATGAAAAAAATGGTTCAACACTGTGAGTTAAATACAGACATCACAAAGCAGTTTCTCAGATAGCTTCCTTCAAGTTTTTATCCTGGGATATTCACTTTTTCCCCTTTGGCCTCAACTAGCTCCTAAATGTCCAGTCACAGAATGGACAAAAACAGAGTTTCCAAACTGCTGAATCAGAAGAATGGCTTAACTCTGTGAGATGAATGCACACATCACAAAGCAGTTCCCCAGGAAGATTCTTTCTAGTTTTTATCTGAAGATATTTTCTTTTTCACCATAGGCCTCAATGCACTCTCAAATATCCCTTCACAGATTGTACAAAAATAGTGTTTCCAAAGTGTTGCATGAACACAAACATTTATCCCTGTGGGATGAAAGCACACATCACCAAGCAGTTCTTCAGGTGCCTTAATTCTAGTTTTTGTCCTGGGATATTCCCTTCTTCACCATTGGCCTCAATGGGCTCCAAAATGTCCATTCACAGAATGGACAAAAACAGTTTTTCCAAACTGCTGAATCAAAAGAAAGTTTTAACTCTGTTTGATGAATGCACACATCACAAAGCAGATCCTCAGAAAGCTTCTTTCTACATTTTATCTGAAGATATTTTCTTTTTCACCATAAGATACAATGCGCTCTCAAATACCTCTTTGCAGATTCTACAAAAACAGTGTTTACAAACTGCTTAGTGAAAAAAAACGTTGAACTTTGTGAGTTGAATGCACACATCAAAAAGCAGTTTCTCAGATAGCTTCCTTCTAGTTTTTATCCTGGGATATTCACTTTTTTGTCATTGTACTCAATGTGCTCCCCAAAGCCCATTCACAGAATGGACAAATAAGTGTTTCCCAACTAAGGAATCATAAAAAACGGTTTAACTCTGTAAGATGAATGCACACATCACAAAGCAGTTTCTCAGAAAGCTTCCTTCTAGTTTTTATCATGGGATATTCACTTTTTCGCCATTGACCTCAATAAGCTGACAAACATCCATTCACAAAATGGACAAAAACCATGTTTCCAAGCTGCTGAATCAAAAGAAAGGTATAACTCTGTGAGATGAATGCATACTTCAAAAGGCAGTTTCTCAGAAAGCTTCTTTCTACTTTTTATCTCAAGACATTTTCTTTTTCACCATAGGCCTCAATGTGCTTCCAATTATCTCTTTACAGATTCTACAAAAACAGTGTTTTCAAACTGCTGATTGAAAAAAAGGTTTCACACTGTGAGAAGAATACACACATCAGAAAGCCTTTTCTCAGATAGCTTCCTTCTAGGTTTTTTCCTGTGATATTCACTTTTTCTCCATTGGTCTCAATGAGCTCCCATATGTCCATTCACAGAATGGACAAAAAAAGTGTTTCCAAACTGCTGAGTCTAAAGAAATGTTTACCTCTGTGTGATGAATGCACACATCGCAAAGCAGTTTTTCAGAAAGCTTCTTTCTACTTTTTATCTGAAGGTATTTTCTTTTTCACCTTAGACCTCAATGCACTCCCAAATATCCCTTCACAGATTCTACCTCAAATAGCTTCCCTCTAGTTTTTATCCTGGGTTATTCACTTTTTCATCATTGCCTCCAGGTGCTCCCTATTGTCCATTCACCTGACTGACAAAAGAGTGTTTCCAAACTGCTGAAACAAAAGAAAGGTTTAGCTCTGTGACATGAATGCGTACATCACAAGACATTCTTTTGTTGAATCAAAAGAATGGTTGAATTCTGAGGTAAAGGCAGACATCACAAAGAATGTTCTCAGAAAGCTTCTTTCTAGTTTTTATCTGAAGATATGTTCTTTTTCACCATAGGCTCAATGTGCTCCCAAATATCCATTAGCAGATTCTACAAAAACAGTGTTTCCAAACTGCTGAATGAAACCAAAGTTTTAACTTGCAAAATGAATGCACACATCACAAAGCAGTTTCTCAGCTAACTTCCTTCTAGTTTTTATCCTGTGATATTCTCCTTTTTGCCTTTGTCCTCAATCAACTCCCAGATGTTTATTTGCACAAATCACAAATCAGTGTTTCCAGACTGCTGAATCAAAAGAAAAGTTTAACACTGTGAGATGAATGCACACAGCACAAAGTGATTTCTCAGATAGCTTCCTTCAATTTTTTATCCTGGGATATTTGCTTTATCTCCATTGACCTCAATGAGCTCCCAAATGTCCATTCACAGAATGGACAAAAGCAGTGTTTCCAAACTGCGGAATCACAGGAAATGTTTAACTCTGTAAGATGAATGCATACACCCAAAGCAGTTTCTCAGAAAGCTTCTTTCTGGTTTTTATATGAAGATATTTACTTTTTCACCTTAGGCCTCAATGTGCTCCCAAATATCCCTTTGCAGATTCTACAAAGACAGTGTTTCCAAACTGCTGATTGAAAAGAAATGTTTAACTCTGTGACATGAATGCAAACATCACAAAGCGGTTTCTCAATACCTTCCTTCTATTTTTTATCCTGGGATATTCCCTTTTTTGACATTGGCCTCAAAGACCTCAAAAATATCCATTATCAGTATGGAGAAAAACAGAATATTTGAAACTGCTTAATCAAAGGAAAGGTTTAACTCTGTGAGATGAATGCATACATCACAAAGCAGTTTCTCAGAAAGCTTCTTTTAGTTTTTATGTGAAGATATTTACTCTTTCACCATAGGCCTCAATGGGCTCCCAAATATCCCTTTGCAATTCTACAAAAACAGTGATTCCAAACTGCTGAATGAAAACAAAGGTTTAACTCTGTGAGCTGAATGAACCTATCACACTATCACAAAACGGTTTCTCAGCTAGCTTCCTTCTAGTTTATATCCTAGGATATTCCCTTTTTTGACATTAGTCTCAAAGAGCTCAAAAATATCCATTTGCAGAATGGAGAAAAACAGTGTATACAAACTGCATAATCAAAAGAAAGTTACAACTCTGTCAGATGAATGCACACATACAAAGCAGTTCCTCAGAAAGCTTCTTTCTACTTTTTGTCTGAAGATATTTTCTTTTACACCAGAGGCCTCAATGTGCTCCCAAATATCCCTTCTCACATTCTACAAAAACAGTATTTCCAAACTTCTGAATTAAAGGAAAGGTTTAACTCTGTGAGATGAATGCAAACATCACAAAGAGGTTTTTCAGAGAGTTTCCATGCAGTTTTTATCTTGGGATATTCTCTTTTTCTCCATTAGCCTCAATGATCTTCCAAATGTCTGTTTGCAGAATGCACAGAAACAGTGTTTCCAGACAGTTGAATCAAAAGAAAGTTTTAATTCTGTGAGATGAATGCTTACATCACAAAGCAGTTTGTCAGAAATCTTCTCTCTAGTTTTTATATGAAGATATTTTCTTTTTCACCATAATCCTCAATGCTCTCCCAAATATCCCTTTGCAGATTCTACAAAAACAGTGTTTCCAATCTGCATTATGAAAATAAAATTTTAACTCTGCAAGATGAATGCACACAACTGAAAGCAGTTTCTCAGATATCTTCCTTCTAATTTTTTCCTGGGATATTCTCTTTTTCTCCACTGGCCTCAATGAGCTCTTAAATGTCCATTTGCAGAATGGACAAAAACAGTGTTTCAAATTGTTGAATCAAAAGGAAGTTTTAACTCAGTGATATGAATGTCCACATCATAAACCAATTTGTCAGAGGGCTTCTTTCTAGATTTTATCTTAAGGTATTTTCTTTTTCAACATAGGTCTCAATGTGCTCCTAAATGTCACTTCCCAGATGCTACAAAAACATTGTTTCCAAACTGCTGAATTAAAAGAAAGGTTTGACTCTGCGAGATGAATGCAGACATCACAAATCAGTTTCTCAGATAGCTTCCTTGTAGTTTTTACCCTGGGATATTCCCTTTTTTGCCATTGGCCTCAAAGACCTCACAAATGTCCATTCGCAGAATGGACAAAAACAGTGTTTCCAAAATGTTGAATGAAATGAAAGGTTTAATGCTGTGAGATGAATGCACACATCACAAAGCAGTTTATGAGAAAGCTTTTTCTAATTTTCGTCTGAAGATATTTTCTTTTTCACTATAGGGCAAAATATCCCTTCACAGATTCTATGAAAAAAAAAAAAAAAAAAAACAGTGTTTCCAAACTGCTGAATGAAAAGAAAGGTTTAACTCTGCCAGATGAATGCACACATCACAAAACCATTTCTCACATAGCTTCCTTGAAGTTTTTATTCTGGGATATTCACTTTTCTACATTTGGTCTCAAAGAGCTCCCAAATCTTCATTCGCACAAAGGACAAATCAGTGTTTCCAAACTGGGGTATCAAAAGAAATATTTAACTCTGTGAGATGAATGCAGACATCACAAAGCAGTTTGTCTGAAAGATTCTTTCTACTTTTTATCTGAAGATATTTTCTTTTTCACCATAAGACTCAAGGTGCTCCCCAGTATCCCTTTGCAGATTCTACAAAAAAAGTGTTTCTAAACTGCTGAATAAAAAGAAAGGTTTAACTCTATGAGATGAAAGCACACATCACAAAGCAGTTTCTAACATAGCTTACTTCTAGTTTTTATCCTGGGATATCTCTTTTTTGCCATTGGCCTCAATCAGCTACCTAATGTACATTTGCAGAATGGACAAAAACAGTTTTTCCAAACTGTTGAATCAAACAAAAGGTTTAACTCTGTGAGGTGAATGCACCCATCACAGAGCAGTTTCTCAGAAAACTTCTTTCTACTTTTTATCTTAAGATACTTTCCCTTTAACCATAAGCCTCAATGAGCTCCCAAATTTCTCTTTGCAGATTCTACAAAAACAGTGTTTCCAAAGTCCTGAATGAAAAGAAAGGTTTACCTCTGTGAGATGAATGCACACATCACAAAGTGTTTTCTCAGATAGCTTCCTTGAAGGTTTGTGAGACAAAAACAGTGTTTTGAAACTGCTCTATTGAAAGAAATGATTAAATTGGTGAGATGAATGCACACATCACAAAGCAGTTTCTCAGAAAGCTTCTTTCTAACTTTTATCTAGATATAATTTCTGTTTCACCATAGGCCTTAATGCACTCCCAAATATTGCTTCCCAGATTCTACAAAAACGGTGTGTCCAAAGTGCTGAATGAAGAGAAAGGTTTAACTCTGTTAGATGAAAGCACACATCACAAAGCAGTTTCTCATAAAGCTTCTCTCTACTTTTTATCTGATGATAATTTCTTTTTCACCATAGGCCTCAATGCACTTCCAAATATCCCTTTGCAGATTCTACAAAAGCAGTGTTTCCAAATGTTGAATGAACAGGAAGGTTTAACTCTGTGAGATGAATGCACACATCACAAAGCTGCTTCTCAGATAGCCTACTTCTAGTTTTTATCCAGGGATACTCACTTTTTTGCCTTTGGCCTCAAAGAGCTCCTAAATGTACATTTGCCGAAAGGACAAAAACAATGTTTCCAATCAGCTGAATCAGAAGAAAAGTTTAACTCTGTTAGATGAAATCACACCTCACAAAGCAGTTTCTCATAAAGTTTCTTTCTACTTTTTATCTGATGATAATTTCTTTTTCACCATAGGCCTCATTGACTCTGAAATATCCCTCTGCAGATTCTACAGAAGCAGTATTTCCAAATGTTGAATGAAAAGGAAGCTTTAACTCTGTGAGATGAATGCACACATCACAAAGCTCCTTCTCAGATAGCCTACTTCTAGTTTTTATCCGGGGATATTCGCTTTTTCGCCTTTGGCCTCAAAGAGCTCCTAAATGTACATTTGCAGAAAGGACAAAAACAATGTTTCCAATCAGCTGAATCAAAACAAAAGATTAACCCTATGAGATGAATGCACACATAAAAAAGCAGTTTCTCAAAAACCTTCTTTCTACTTTTTATCTGAAGCTAATTTATTTTTCACCACAGGCCTCAATGCACTCTGAAATATCCCTTTGCAGATCCCACAAAAACACTGTTTCCAAACTGCTGAATGAAAAGAATGGTTTAACTCTGAAAGGTGAATGTGCACATCACAAAGTGGTTTCTCAGATAACTTCCTTCTAATTTTTATCCAGGGATATTTCCTTTTTCACCATTGGCCTCAGTGAGCTACCAAATGTTGATTTGCTGAATGGACAAAAACCGTGTTTCCAAACTGCTGAGTGAAAAGAAAGGCTTAACTCCATGAGATAAATGCAAGCATCATAAAGCTGTTCCTCACAAAGTTTCTCCCAACTTTTTATATATAGATGTTTTCTTTTTCACCATAAACCTCAATGCACTCTCAAATATCCCTGCAGAGATTTTACGAAAACATGTTTCCAAAAAGCTGAATGAAAAGAAAGATTCAATTCTGTGAGGTGAATGTGCAAATCACAAAGCAGTTCTTACATAGCTTCCTTATAGTTTTTATGCTGGGATATTTCCTTTTTTGCCATTGGTCTCAATGAGCTCCCAAATGTCCATTTGCAAAATGGATAAAAACAGTGTTTCCAAACTGTTGAATCAAAAGAAAAGTTTAACTCTGTGAGATGAATGCACACATTGCAAAGCAGTTTCTCAGATAGCTTTCTTCTAGTTTTTATCCTGGGATATTCTCTTTTTTGCCTTTGGTCTCAATGAGCTCCTAAATGTCCATTTGCAGAATGGGCAAAAACAGTGTTTCCATACTGCTGAATCAAAGGAAATGTTTATATCTGTGAGATGAATACACACATCACAGAGCAGCTTCTCAAAAAGCTTCTTTCTACTTTTTATCTCAAGATATTTTATTTTTCTCTATAGGCTTTAATGCACTCCCAAATATTCCTTCACATATTCCACAAAAAGAGTGTTTCCAAACTGCTGAATGAAAAGAAAGATTTAACTCTGTGAGATGAATCCACACATCACAAAGCAGTCTCTCAGAAAGCTTCTTTCAACTTTTTATCTGATGATATCTTCTTTTTTACCATAGGCCTCAGTGCACTCCCAAATATCACATCATAGATTCTACAAAAACAGAGTTTCCAAACTGCTGAATCAAAAGAGAGTTTTAACTCTGTGAGGTGAATCAACACTTCACAAAGCAGTTTCTAAAAAGCTTCTTTCAACTTTTTATCTGAAGATATTTTCTTTTTAACCATAAGTATCACTGCACTCTGATTTATCCCTTCACGGATTCTACAAAAAGATTGTTTCCAAAATGCTGAGTTAAAACACAGGTTTAAGTTTGCAATATGAATACACACTTCACAAAGCCATTTCTCAGATAGCTTCCTTCTAGTTTTTATCCTGGGATATTCACTTTTTCACCTTTTTCCTCAATGAGCTCCAAAATGTCCATCCTCCGAATGGACAAAAACAGTTTTTTCAAACTACTGAATCAAAGAAAGGTTTAAATCTGTTAGATGAATGCACACATCACAAAGTAGTTTCTCACAAAGCTTCCTTCTTTTTATCTGAAGTTATTTTCTTTTTCACCATAGCTTTCAATGTGCTCCCAAATATCCCTTCACAGATTCTAAAAAGACAGTGTTTCCAAACTGCTGAATGTAAAGAAAGTTTTAAAACTCTGCCAGATGAATGCAAACATTTCCAAGCAGTTTCTCAGACACTTCCTTCTAGTTTTTATCCTGCAATATTCACTTTTTTGCCAATTTCCTCAATGAGATCCCAAATATCCTTTCGCAGAATGGACAAAAACAGTTTTTCCAAAATGCTGAATCGAAACAAAGTTTTAACTCTTTGAGTTGAATGAACATATCACAAAGCAGTTTCTCTGATAGCTTCCTTCTAATTTTTACCCTGGGATAATCACTTTTTCTCCATTCACCCAATAGGCTACCAAATGTCCATTAGCAGAATAGGCAAAAACAGTGATTCCAAACTGCTGAATCAAAAGAAAGGTTTAACTGTGTGAGAAGAGTGCACACATCACAAAGCGTCTTGTTAGAAAGCTTCTTTCTAGTTTTCATCTGAAGATATTTTCTTTTTCACCATAGGCCTCCATGCACTCCCAAATATCCCTTCATAGATTCCACAATAACAGTGTATCCAAATTCCTGAATGAAAAGAAACTTTTAAATCTATGAGATGGATGCACACATCACAAAGCAGTTTCTCAGAGAACTTCCTTCTACTTTTTATCATAGGATTTTCTCTTTTGCCATTGGCCTCAATGAGCTCCCAAAAGTCCATTTGCAGAATGGGGAAAAACTGTGTTTCTAAACTGTGGAATCAAAATAAAAGTTTAATTCTGTGAGATGAATGCACACATCACAAAGCAGTTTTTCACAAAGCTTCTTTCTAGTTTTTATCTGAAGATATTTTCTTTTTCACCTTAGGCATCAAAAGACTCCCAAATATCCCTTCACAGATTTTACAAAAACAGTGTTTCCAATCTGCTGAATGAAAAATAAAGTTTAAATCTGTGAGATAAGTGCATTCATCACAAAGCGGTTTGTCAGATAGCTTCTTTCTACTTTTTATCCTGGAATGTTTGATTTTTCGCCATTGGCCTCAATGAGCTCCCAAATGTCCATTCACATAATGGACAAAAAGAGTGTTTCCATACTGCTGAATGAAAAGAAAGTTTTAACTCTGTGAGATGAATGCACAAATCACATGAGAGCTTCACAGAATGCTTCTTTCTAGTTTTCATCTGTAAATATTTTCTTTTTCACCATAGGCAACACTGCGCTCCCAAATATACCTTCAAAGTTTGCACAAAAACAGTGTTTCCAAACTGCTGAAGGAAAACAAAGGTTTAACTCTGCAAGATGAATGCACACATCACAAAGCAGTATCTCAGATACCTTCCTGCTAGTTTCTATCCTGGGATATTCGCTATTTTGCTTTTGGACTCAATGAGCTCCCAAATATCCATTCACAGAAAGGACAAAAACAGTGTTTCCACTCTGCTGAATCAAAGGAAACTTTTATCTCTGTGAGATGAATGCCCACATCACAAACCAGTTTCTCAGAAAGTTTCTTTCTAGCTTTTAACTGGAGATAATATCTGCTTCACCATAGGCCTCAATGTGTTTCCAAATATCCCTTCGCAGATTCCACAAAAACAGTGTTTCCAAACTGCTGAGTAAAAAGAAAGGTTTAACTGTGGGATGAATGCCCACATCACAAAGCAGTTTCTCAGAAAGGTTCTTTCTAGCTTTTATCTGGAGATAATTTCTGTTTCACCATATGCCTCAATGCACTCCCAAATATCCCTTTGCAGATTCTACAAAAACAGTGTTTCCAAAAAGGCTGAATGAAATGAAAGCTTTTACTCTGCGAGCTGAATTCATATATTACAAACTGCTTTCTAAGATAGCTTCCTCCTAGTTTTTAACCTGGGATATACGCTTTTTCACATTTGGCCTCAATGAGCTCCCAAATGTCTGTTCACTGAAAGGGCAAAACCAGTTTTTCCAAACTGCTATATGAAAAGAAATGTTTAAATCTGTTAGATGAATGCACACGTCACAAAGCAGTATCTCAGAAAGCTTCTTTCTACTTTTTATTTGAAGATTTTTTTTGACCATAGGCCTCAATGTGCTCCCAAATATCCCTGCACAGATTCTACAAAAACAGTGTTTCCAAACTGCTGAATGAAAATAAAGGTTTATCTCTGCTATATGAATGCACACATCACAATTAAGTTTCTCAGATAGCTTCCTTCTAGTTTTTATCCTGGGATATTCTTTTTTGGCCATCGGCCTCAATGAGCCTCCAAATGTCCATTTGTAGAATGGACAAAAGCAGTGTTTCCAAACTGCTGAATCAAAAGAAAGTTTTAACTCTGTTTGATGAATGCACACATCACAAATCAGTTTATCAGAAAGCTTCTTACTAGTTTTTAACTGGAGATATTTTCTTTTTCAGCACATGCCTCATTGTGCTCCCAAATATCCCTTCACAGATTCTTAAAAAAAATGTATCCAAACTGCTGAATTAAAAGAATGGTTTAACTAAGCATGATGAATACACACATCACATAGAGGTTTCTCAGATAGCTTCCTTCTAGTTTTTATCTGGGAATATTGGCTTTTTTGCCATTTGCCTCAATGAGATTCCAAATGTCCATTCACATAATGGACAGAAACAGTGTTTCCAAACTGCTGAATCAAAAGAAAGGTTTTACTATGTGAGATCAATGCACACATCACAAAGCAGTTTGTCAGAAAGCTTCTACTTTTTATCTGAAGATATTTTCTTTAACACCATATGCCTCAAAGTGCTCCCAAATATCCCTTCACTGATTCTACAAAAACAGTGTATCTAAACTGCTGAATAAAAAGAAAGGTTTAACTCTGTGAGATGAATGCACAAATCACAAGGCAGCATCACAGAATTCTTCGTTCTAGTTTTCATCTGAAGATATTTTCTTTTTCACCATAGGCAACAGTGCACTCCCCAATATCCTTTTGCAGTTTCTACAAAAACAGTGTTTCCAAACTATTGAATGAAAAGAAAGTTTTAAATCTGTGAGTTGAATACACACATCACAAAGTAGTTTCTCAGATAGGTTACTTCTAGTTTTTGTCCTGGGATATTCAGTTTTCTGCCTTTGGCCTCAAAGAGCTCCCAAATGTCCATTCAGAGAATGGACAAAAACAGTGTTTCCAAACTGCTGAATAAAAAGAAATTTTTAACTCTGTGAAATGAAAGCAAACAACACAAAGCAGTTTTTCAGAAAGCTTCTTTCTCCTTTTTATCTGAAGATATTTTCTTTTTCACCATGTGCCTCAATGTTTAATGAAAAGGAGGTTTTATCTCTGTGAGACGAATGCACACTTTACCAAGCGGTTTCTCACATAGCTTCCTTCTAGGTTTTATCCTGGGATATTCTCCTTTTTGCCATTGGCCTCAATGACCACCCAAATGTCCATTCCCAGAATGGACAAAAACACAGTTTCCAAATGCTGAACCAAAAGAAAGGTTTATGTCTGTGAGATGAATGCACATATCACAAAGCAGTTTTTCAGAAAGCTTCCTTCTAGTTTTTACCATGGGATATTTGCTTTTATGCCATTGGCCAAAATGAGCTCCCAAATGTCCATTCACAGAATGGGCAAAAACAGTGTTTCCAAACTGCTGAATCAAAAGAAAGTTTTAACTGTGGGAGATGAATGCACACATCAAAAAGAAGCTTCTTGGAAGGCTTCTTTCTAGTTATCATCTGAAGATATATTTTTTTCACCATAGCCCTCAATGCACTCCCAAATAACATTTCATAGATTCTACAAAAATAGAGTTTCCAAACTGCTCAATCTAAAGACTGTTTTAACTCTGTGAGATGAATGCAGACATCACAAAGCAGTTTCTAAAAAGCTTCCATCTACTTTTTCTCTGAAGATATTTTCTTTTTCCTTAAAGGCCTTGATGTGCTCCCAAATAACCCTTCACAGATTCTCGAAAAACACTGTTTCCAAACAGCTGACTGAAAAGAAAGATTTAACTCTGTGAGATGAATGCACATATCACAAAGTAGTTTCTAAGAAATCTTATTTTAGGTTTATCTGGATGTATTTTCTTTTCACCATAGGCCTCAAGGCACTCCCAAATATCCCTTTGCAGACTCTACAAAAACATGATTTCCAAACTGCAGAATGAAAAAAAAGGTTTAACTCTGTGAGATGAATGCACAAATCACAAAGCAGTTTCTGAGATATCTTCCTTGAACTTTTTTTAAATCCTGGGATATTATCTTTTTCACTTTTGGCCTCAATGAATTCCCAAATGTCCATTCACAGAATTGACAAAAACAGTGTTTTCAAACTACTGAATCAAAGAAAGGTTTAACTCTGGAAGATGACTGCACACATCACAAAGCAGTTTCTCAGAAAGTTTCTTTCTACTTTTTATCTGAAGATATTTTCTTTTTCACCATAGGCCTCCATGCACTCCCAAATATACCTTCATAGATTCAACAATAACAGTGTATCCAAACTCCTGAATGAAAAGAAACTTTTAACTCTATGAGATGGATACACACATCACCAAGCGGTTTCTCAGAGAGCTTCCTTCTAGGTTTTATCCTGGGATATTCTCTTTTGCCATTAGACTAAATGAGCTCCCAAATGTCCATTTGCAGAATGGGCAAAAATTGTGTTTCCAAACTGTGGAATCAAAAGAAAAGTTTAACTCTGTGAGATGAATGCACACATCACAAAGCAGTTTTTCAGAAAGCTTCTTACTAGTTTTTATCTGAAGGTATTTTCTTTTTCACCTTAGGCCTCAAAAGACTCCCAAATATCCCTTTACAGATTCTACAAAAACAGTGTTTCCAATTTGCTGAATGAAAAGTAAGGTTTAAATCTGTGAGATAAGTGTGCTTATCACAAAGCGGTTTGTCAGATAACTTCTTTCTACTTTTTATCCTGGAATGTTTGCTTTTTTGCCATTGGCCTCAATGAGCTCTCAAATATCCATTCACATAATGGACAAAAAGAGTGTTTCCAAACTGCTGAATGAAAAGAACGTTTTAATTCTGCGAGAAGAATGCACAGATCACGTGAGAGCTTCACAGAATGCTTCTTTCTAGTTTTCATCTGTAAATATTTTCTTTTTCACTGTAGGTAACACTGCACTCCCAAATATACCTTCACACAAAACATACCTTCATACAAAAACAGTGTTTCCAAACTGCTGAATGAAAATAAAGTTTTAAATCTCCGAGATGAATGCACACATCACACCACAGTTTCTCAGATAGCTTAGTTCTAGTTTTTATCCTGGGATATTCACTTTTTTGCCTTTGGCCTCAATGAGCTCTCAAAAGTCCATTTGCAGAATGGACAAAAACAGTGTTTCCAAACTGCTGAATAAAAAAAAAGGTTTAACTCTGTGAAATGAATGCACACAGCACAAAGCAGTTTCTCAGAAACCTTCTTTCTACCTTTTATCTGAAGAAATTTTCTTTTTCATTACAGGCCTCAGTGAGCTCCCAAATATCTCTTTGCAGATTCTACAAAAAGTGTTTCCAGACTGCTGAATGAAAAGAAAGTTTTATCTCTGTGAGATGAATACACATCACAAAGTAGTTTCTCAGATAGCTTCCTTCTAATTTTTATCCTGGGAAGTATGCTTTTTCACCATTGGCCTCAATGAACTCCCAAATTTCCATTCACAGAATGGACAAAAACAATGTTTCCAAAGTGCTGAATCAAAAGAAAGGTTTATTTTGCATGCATCATGAAGCAGTTTCTCAAAAGTTTCTTTCTACTTTTTATTTGAAGATATTTTCTTTTTCAACATAGGACTCAATGCGCTCCCAAATATCCATTCACAGATTCTATAAATACAGTGTTTCCAAACTTCAGAATGAAAAAATGTGTTAACTCTGTGAGATGAATGCAGACATCACAAAGAGGTTTCTCAGATAGCTTCCTTCTAGTTTTTATCCTGGGATATTCACTTTTTTGCCATTGGCCCCAATGAGCTCCAAAATGTCCATTCACAGAATGGACAAAAAGAGTGTTTCCAAACTGCTGAGTCAAAAGAAATATTTAACTCTGTGAGATGAATGCACACATCACAAAGCAGTTTCTCAAATATTTCTTTCTAGTTTTTATCTGTAGATATTTTTTTTTCACCTTAGGCTTCCTCTGAGACCAGCACTTTCTGGCAGACTCTAACCCAATGGCACTAGAGGAATTAAAGACACACAAAAAAATATAGAGTTGTAAAGTGGGAAATCGTGTGTCTCACAGCCTTTAAAGCTGAAAGTCCTGAATAGAGATTTACACATGTATATGTTAACAGCAAACTAGTCATTAGCATTGTTTCTGTAGATATTAAATTAACTAAAATTATCCCTTATGGGATATGAATGGATGGGCCAAATTAAAGGAATAGGTTGGGCTAGTTAACTGTGTCAGGAGCATGTCCTTAAGGCACAAGTTGCTCATGCTATTGTTTGTGGCTTAAGAAAGCCTTTAAACGGTTTTCCACCATGGACAGGCCAGGTGTTCCTTGCCCTCATTCTGGTAAACCCACAACCTTCCAGTGTGTGAGTTAGGGTCACAAAGCACATGTCACAGTGTTGCAGAGATTTCATTTATGGCCAGTTTGGGGGCCAGTTTATGGACAGATTTTGGAGGGCTTTCTCCCAACCTGTCCCCATTCTTTGATTTGCAAATTGATAAAAGCAAAGGCAGCTTTGTCACAGTGAGTTCCTTCTCACAGGAGTCACATCCACAACTACAGACTACACAAAGAAAAACAACATAGATTAAAAGCACAATCATCATTGAAATCACAGAGCTTCCAAGTGTTTTTATCCATTTTAATGGGTTACTAGCTGCTAATTTTTCTTCAGCTCCTTTAAGCACTCAGTTTCTGGCATTAATGTGAGGTGTGCCTGGGATGCTTTAAATGTTTGTTCTTTTAATTTTGGCATATCCAAAAACAAGTTTGTAGAGTGTCCTTATAGATTTTTTTTATCCTTTCCCAAATTTTGATCTTATTAAGAGCATTTAATAGTTTCCGCAAATCCTTATGTTAAGCTCCCAGTGCGGGCCATATCATTTGAGGTTGAGGTGCCACAATACTGCCATGGTTCCAGATAATAGGAAGTTTTGTCGTACTTCTTATCATATCTACCATCTGACCACTTGGTTCAGATCATCTGAACATAGTGTGGCCACGGCACACAGACTGAGAGGTGCAATTCAAGCTAAACCTCTCCTTAGGGGAATGATTAATAATGATTCCATAGGAATCATTGTGCAGCACCTCTGCCTGTTCTGCAATGCAATCTTCCTAAACAAGTACGTTCATTTTTTCTAACTGGGTCCAATCCTGTTTACAAGTAGGTTTAGATGAATGCACACATCATGCAGCAGTTTCTCAGAAAGCTACTTTCTAGCTTATATCTGAAGATATTTCTCTTTTCACCATAAGCCTCAATGCACTCCCAAATTTCATTTTGCAGATTCTATAAAAACAGTGTTTCCAAAGGGCAGAATGAAAAGAAAGGTTTAACTCTACCAGATGAATGAACACATCACAATATGGTTTCTCAGATAGCTTCCTTCTAATTTTTATCGAGGGATATTTGCTGTTTTGTCATTGGCCTCAATGAGCTCCAAAATCCCCATTCTGTGAATGGACAAAAACAGTGTTTCCAAACTGCTGAATCAAAAGAAAAGTTTAACTCTGTGAGATGAATGCACACATCACAAAACGGTTCCTAAGAAAGCTTCTTTATACTTTCTATCTGAAGATATTTTGTTTTTCAACATAGGCCTCAACATGCTCCCAAATATCCCTTTGTAGCTTCTATAAAAACAGTTTTTCCAAACTGCTGAAAGAAAAGAAAGGTTTTACTCTGTGAGATTAATGCCCACAACACGAAGCAGTTTCTCAGATAGCTTCCTTCTAGTTTTTATCATGGGATATTCACTTTTTAGCTATTTGCCTCAATGAGCTCTGAAATGTCCATTCGCAGAATGGACAAAAACTGTGTTTCCAAACTGCTGAATCAAAAGAAAGGTTTATGTCTGTGAGGTGAATGCACACATAACAAAGCAGTTTCTCAGAAAACTTCCTTCTAGTTTTATCTGAAGATATTTTCTTTATCACCATAGGCCTCAAAGTGCTCCCAAATATCCCTTCACAGTTCTACAAAAAAGTGTTTCCAAACTGCTGAAAGATTAACTCTGTGAGATGAATTCCCACATCACAAATCAGTCTCTCAGAAAGTTTCTTTCTATTTTTATCAGAAGAGATTTTCCTTTTCACCGTAGGTCTCAATGCGCTCCCAAACATCCCTTTGCAGATTTTACAAAAACAGAGTTTCAAAACTGTTGAATGAAAAGAAAGGTTTAACTCTGCAAGATGAATGCACACATCACAAAGCATTTTCTCAGACAGCTTCCTTCTGGTTTTAATCTTGGGATATTCGCTTTTCTGCCATTGGCCTCAATAAGCTTCCAAATATCCAGTCACAGAAACACAAAAACAGTGATTCCAAACTGCTGAATCAAAAGGAAGGTTTAACTCTGTGAGATGAATGCACACATTTAAAAGCAGTTTCTCAGAAAGCTTCTATCTACTTTTTATCTGAAGATATTTTGTTTTTCACCATAGGCCTCAATGCATTCCCAAATATCCATTTGTAGATTCTACAAAAGCAGTGTTTCCAAAAAGCTGAATGAAAAGAAAGGTTTAGTTCTGTGAGATGAATGCACACATCACAAAGTGGTTTTCAGATAGCTTCCTTCTTGTTTTTATCCTGGGATATTCTCTTTTTTGCCATTGGACTCAATGAGCTCCAAAATGTCCACTCACAGAATGTAAAAATACAGTGTTTCCAAGCTGCTGAATCAAAAGAAAGTTTTATCTCTGTGTGATGAATGCACACACCTAAAAGCTGTTGCTCAGAAAGCTTCTTTCTAATTTTTACCTGAAGTTATTTTCTTTTTCACCATAGGCCTCAATGCGCTCCCAAATATCCCTTCACATATTCTACAGAAACAGTGTTTCTGAACTGATGATTGAAAAGATAAGGTTAAATAAGTGAAATGAATGCACACATCACAAAGCAGTATATCAGATAGCTTCCTTGTAGTTTTTATCCTTGGATATTCACTTTTTCACCATTGGCCTCAATGAGCTCCCAAATGTCTATTTGCAGAAAGGACAAAAGCAGTGTCAGCAAACTGCTGAATTGGAAGAAAGCTTTAATGCCTTGAGGTGAATGCAAACATCACAAGGCAGCTTTTCAGAAAGCTTCTTTCTAGTTTTTATCTGAATAGATTGTCTTTTTCTCTATAGGCCTCAATGCACTCCCAAATATACCTTCATAGATTCTACAAAAACAGTGATTCCAAACTGCTGAATGAAAACAAAGGTTTAACTCTGTGAGCTGAATGGACCTATCACCAAGTGGTTTCTCAGATGATTTCTTCCAGTTTTTATCCTGAGATATTCACTTATTCACCATTGGCTTCAATGAGCTCCCAAACCTAATGCACAATGGACAAAAACAGTGTTTCAAAACTGGTGAATCAAAAGAAAGGTACTATAAGAACAGTGTTTCCAAACTGGTGAATGAAAAGAAAGGTTTAACTCTGCCAGAAGAATGAGCACATCACAAAGGTTTTTCTCAGATAGATTCTTTCTAGTTTTTGTCTAGGGATATTTGCTTTTTTGCCAATGGCCTAAGTGAGCTCCAAAATATCCATTTGCAGAAAGGACAAAATCAATGTTTCCAAACTGCTGAATCTAAAGAAAGGTTTAGCTCTATGAGATGAAGGCACACATCACAAAGCAGTTTCTAAGAAATCTTCTTTCTAGTTTTTATCCGGGGTTTTTCTCTTTTTCGCCATTGGCCTCAAAGAGCTCCCAAATGTCCATTTGCAGAATGGACAAAAACAGTGATTCCAAACTTCTGAATCAAAAGAAAGGTTTAACTCTGTGAGATGAATGCACACATCTAAAAGCAGTTTCTCAGAAAGCTTCTATCTGCTTTTTATCTGAAGATATTTCTTTTTCACCTTAGGCCTCAATGCGCTCCCAAATATCCTTTCACAAATTCTACAAAAACAGTGTTTCCAAACTACTGAATGAAAAGAATGGTTAACTTGTGTGAGATGAATGCACACATCAGAAAGCAGATTCTCATATTGCTTCCTTCTAGTTATTAATCTGTGATGTTTGCTTGTCCACCATTGGCCTCAATGAGCTTCCTAATATCCATTCACAGAATGGACAAAAGCGGTGTTTTCAAAATGCTGAATCAAAAGAAAGGATTAACTCTGCAAGGTGAATGCACACATCATAAATCAGTTTTTCAGATAGCTTTCTTCTAGTTTTTGTCCAGGTCTAGTTGTTTTTTCACCATTGGCCTCAATGAGCTCCCAAATGTCCATTCACAGAATGGACAAAAACAGTGTTTCCAAACAGGTGAATCAAAAGAAAGGTTTAACTCTGTGAGATCAATGCAAACATCACAAAGCAGTTTCTCAGAAAGGATCTTTCACGTTTTCATATGAAGATATTTACTTTTTCACCATAGGCCTCAAAGGGCTCCCAAATATCCCTTCGCAGATTCTACAGAAACAGTGTTTCCAAACTGCTGAATCAAAAGAGTAGTTTATTTCTGTGAGATGAATGCAACATCAGAAAGTAGTTTCGCAGAAAGCACCTTTCTACTTTGTATCTGAAGATATTTTATTTTTCACCAAAGGTATCAATGGACTCCAAATATCCCTTCACAGATTTTACCAAAACAGTGTTTCCAAAAAGCTGAATGAAAAGAAAGGTTTAACTCTGTGAGATGAATGCACACATCACAAAGCAGTTTCTCAGATAGCTTCCTTCTAGTTTTTATCTTGGAATACTCACTTTTTCTCCATTCACATCAATGAGCTCTGAAATATCCATTTGCAGAAAAGACAAAAACAGTGTTTCCAAAATGCTGAATCAAAAGAAAGATTTACCTCTGTGAGATGAGTGCACACATCACAAAGCAGTTTCTCAGAAACTGTTTTTCCTTTTGTTTTTATGCTTTTGTTTTTATCTTATTTTCTTTTTCACCATAGGCCTCAATGTGCTGAAAATTTCCCTTCACATATTGTACAAAAACATTGTTTCCCAACTGCTGTTTGAAAAGGAAATTTTAACTTGGCAAGATGAATACACACATCATAAAGTGCTTTCTCAGAAAGCTTCTTTCTAGTTGTTATCTGAAGATATTTTCTTTTTCACCATAGGCCTCAATGTACTCCCAAATATCCCTTTGCATATTCTACAAAAACAGATTTTCTAAACTGTTGAATGAAAAGTAAGGTTTATGTCTGTGAGATGAATGCACACATCACAATGTGGTTTCTCAGATTACTTCCTTGCAGTTTTTGTCCTGGAATATCCCCTTTTTTTTGCCAATGGCCTCAATGAGTTCCCAAATGTCCTTTCACACAACGGACAAAAACAGTGTTTCCAAACTGCTAAATGAAAAGAAAGTTATAACTCTGTGAGATTAATGTACACATCACAAAAGAGTTTTTCAGAAAGATTCTTTCTGGTTTTTATCTGAAGATATTTTCTTATTCACAGTAAGCCTCAATGCAATCCCAAATATCCCTTCACAGATTCTACAAAAACTGTGTTTCCAATCTGCTGAATGAAAAGAAAGGTTTAACTCTGTGAGATGAATCCACACATCACAAAGCAGTCTCTCAGATAGTTTCCCTCTAGTTTTTATCCTGGGTTATTCACTTTTTCAAATTATGCCTGAATTAGCTTCTAAAGGTCCATTTGCAGAAAGGATGAAAACAGTGTTTCCAAACTGTTGATTGAAAAGAAAGGTTTAACTCTGTGAAATGAAGGCCCTCATCACAAAGCAGTTTCTCAGAAAGCTTCTTTCTACTTTTTATCTGAAGATAATTTCGTTTTCACCATAGGCCTCAATGTGATCCCAAATATCCCTTCAATGATTCTACAGAAACAGTGTTTCCAAACTGCCGGGTGAAAGAAAGGTTTAACTCTGTGAGATGAATGCACACCTAGCAAAGTTGTTTCTCATATAGCTTCGTTCTAGTTTTTATCCTGGGACAGTCACCTTAAGTCAATTGGTCTCAATGAGCTCCCACGTCTTTTCACAGAATGGACAAAAACGTGTTTCCAAACTGCTGCATCAAAAGAAAGGCTTAACACTGTGAGATGAATGCACCCATCACAAATAATTTCTCAGAAAGCTTCTTTCTATTTTTTATCAGAAGATATTATCTTTTTCACTGTAGGCTCAAGGCAGTCCAAAATGTGACTTCTCAGATTCTACAAAAACAGTGTTCCCAAACTGCTGAATGAAAAGAAAGGTTTAACTCTGTGAGATGAATGCACACATCAGAAAGCAGTTTCTCAGAAAGCTTCTTTCTACTTTTTATTCTAGGATACTCATTTTTTCACCATTGGCCTCAATAAGTTCCCACATGTCCATTCGAGGAATGGACAAAAACAGTGTTTCCAAACTGCTGAATTAAAAGTAAGGCTTAAATCTGCAAGTTGAGTGTGCACATCAGAAAGCTGTTTCTCAGACAGCTTCCCTCTAGTTTTTATCCTGGGATATTCGCTTTTTTACTAGTGGCCTCTATGAGCAACAAAATGTCCATTCACAGAATGGATAAAAACAGTATTGCCAAACTGCTGAATCTAAGGAAATATTTAATTCTAAGAGATGAATGCACACATAACAAAGCAGTACCTCAGAAATCTTCTTTCTACTTTTTACCTGAAGATATTTTCTTTTATACCATAGGCCTCATTGCTCTCACAAATATCCCTTCGCAGATTCTACAAAAACAGTGTTTCCAAACAGCTGATTGAAAAGAAAGGCTTAACTCAGTGAGATTAATCCACACACCACAAAGCAGTTTCTCAGATAGCTTCCTTCTAGTTTTTATCCTGGGTTATTCACTTTTTCACCTTAGGCCTCAATTAGCTCCCAAAGGTTCATTTGCAGAAAGGACAAAAACAGTGTTTCCAAACTGCTGAATCAAAAGAAAGGTTTAATTCTGTGAGATGAAGGTACTCATCACAAAGTAGTTTCTCAGAAAGCTTCCTTCTATTTTATCTTAAGATAATTTATTTTACCCATAGGCCTCAATGTGTTCCCAAATATCCCTTTGATGATTCTACAGAAACACTGTTTCCAAACTGCTGAATGAAAGAAAGGTTTAACTCTCCAAGATGAATGGACACATCACAAATCAGTTTCTCATGTAGCTTTCTTCTAGTTTTTATCCTGGGATAGTCGCCTTTTGTCAATTGGCTTCAATGAGCTCCCAAATGTCCATTCGCAGAATGATCAAAAACTTGTTTCCAAACTGCTAATTCTAAAAAGGTATTAACTCTGTGAGATGAATACGCCCATCACAAATAATTTCTCAGAAAGCTTCTTTCTATCTTTTATCAGAATATATTATCTTTTTTACCATAGGACTCAAAGCACTCCAAAATATTACTTTGCAGATCCTACAAAAACAGTATTTCCAAAATGCAGAATGAAAAGCAAAGTTTAACTCTGTGGGATGAATGCACCCATCACGGAGCAGTTTCTCAGATAGCTTCCTTCTAGTTTTATCCCAGGATATTCACTTTTTTATCATTGGCCTCAATGAGTTCTCAAATGTCCATTCACAGAATAAAGAAAAACAGTGTTTCAAAACTGCCGAATGCAAAGAGAGGTTTAACTCTGTAAAATGAAATGCAAACATCAAAAAGTGGTGTCTCAGAAAGCTTCTTCCTACTTTTTTATCTGAGATAATTTCTTTTTCCCCATAGGCCTCAATGCACTCCCAAATATCCCTTCACAGATTCTATGCAAACAGTGTTTCAAAACTGCTGAATGTAAAGAAAGGTTTAACTCTGTGAGATGAACGCACACAACGCAAAGCAGTTTCTCAGATAGCTTCCTTCTAGTTTTTATGTTGGGATATTCACTTTTTTGTCATTGGCCTAAATGAATTCAAAAATGTACATTTGCAGTATAAACAAAAACAGTTTTTCCAAACTGCTGAATGAAAAGAAAGGTTTAACTGTGTAAGATGAGGGCACACATCACAAAGCAGTTTCCCAGAAATCTTCTTTCTACTTTTTTATCTGAGAATATTTTCTTTTTCACCATAGGTCTCAAGGCACTCCCAAATATCCCTTTGCAGATTATACAAAACAGTGTTTCCAAACTGCTGAATCAAAAGAAAGGTTTAACTCTTTGAGATGAATGCACCCATCACAAATAATTTCTCAGGAAGTTTCTTTCTATTTTTTATCAGAATATATTATCTTTTTCACTATAGGCCTTAAAGCCCTCCAAAATACTACTTCGGAGATTGTAGAAAAACTGTGTTTCCACACTGCTGAATGAAAAGAAAAGTTTAAATCTGCAAGATGAATGCACACATCACAAAGCATTTTTTCAGAAAGCTTCTTTCTAGTTTTTATCCTAAGATACTTGCTTTTCACCATTGGCCTCAATGAGTTCCCAAATGTCCATTCACAGAATGGAGAAAAACAGTGATTCCAAACTGAAGATACAAAAGAAAATTTTAACTCTGTGAGATGAATGCACACATCATTGTGATGTTTCTCAGAAAGCTTCTTTCTAATTTTTATCTCAAGATATTTTCTTTTTTTACCATTCTTTTTTACCATTTGGAGCCTCAATGTGTTCCAAAATATCCATTCACAGATTCTAAAAAAACAGTGATTCCAAACTGCTGAATGAAAAGAAAGTTTTAACTCTGTGAGATGAATGCATATAACACAAAGCAGTTTCTCAGATAACTTCCTTCTAGTTTTTATCCTGGAATATTCACTTTTTTGCCATTGGTCTAAATGAGTTCCCAAATGCACATTCACAGTATAAACAGAAAGACTGTTTCCAAACTGCCGAATCAAGAGAAACTTTAAACTCCATAAGATGAATGCACATATCACAAAGCAGTTTCTCAGAAATCTTCTTTCTGATTTTTATCTGAGAATATTTTTTTTTCACCACAGGCCTAAATGCACTCCCAAATATCCCTTCGCAGCTTCTACAAAAACACTGCTTCCAAATTGCTGAATGAAAAGAAAGTTTTAACGCAGCGAGATAAATGCACACATCTCAAAGCAGTTTCTCAGATAGTTTTCTTCTAGGTTTTGTCCTGTGATATATGCTTTTTTGCCAAGCTTCTTTCTAGTATTTATCTAATGATAATTTGTTTTTCACTTTTGGCTCTATGAGCTCTTAAGTGTACATTCACAGAATGGACAAATGCAGTGTTTACAAACTGCTGAATCAAAAGAAAATTTTAACTCTGTGAGATGAATGCACATATCACAAAGCAGTTTTCAGAAGTCTTCTTTCTATGTTTTATCTGAAGATATTTTCTTTTTCATCATAGGCCTCAGGGCACTCTGAAATATCCCTTTGAAGATTCTACAAAAACATTGTTTCTAAACTGCTGAAGGAAAAGAAAGGTTTAAATCTGTGAGATGAATGCACACATTACAAAGCAGTTTCCCTCCTAGCTTCCTTTTAGTTTTTATCCTTGGATATTCCCCTTTTTTGCCATTGCCCTCAATGATTTCCAAAATGTCCTTTCTCAGAATGGACAAAAACAGTGTTTCCAAACTGCTGAATCAAAATAAAGGTTTAACACTGTGAGATGAATGTGCACATCATGAAGCAGTTTCTCAGAATGCTTCTTTCTTATTTTTATCTGAATTTATTTTCTTTTTCACGATAGGTTTCAATTTGCTCCCAAATATCACTTTGCAGATTCTACAAAAACAGTGTTTCCAAACTGATGAATGAAAACAAAGGTTTAACTATGCAAGATGAATGTATGCATCACAAAGCAGTTTCTCAGAGTGCTTCCTTCCAGTTTTTATCCTGGGATATTCACTTTTTTGCCATTGGCCTCAATGAGCTCCCAAATGTCCATTCGCAGAATGGACAAAAACAGTGTTTTGAAACTGCTAAACCAAAAGAAATGTTAAACTCTGTGATATGAATGCACACATTCAAAGCAGTTTCTCAGAAATCTTCTTTCTCCTTTTTGTCTGAAGACACTTTCTTTTTCACCAGAGGTCTCAATGGTCTCCCAAATTCACAGATTGTACAAAATATAGTTTCCAAACTGCTGAATGAAAAGAAAGGTTTAACTCTGTGAGATGAATTCACACATCACAAAGCAGTTTCTAAGATAGCTTCCTTTTGTTTTTCTGCTGGGATATTCACTGTTTCACCAATGGCGTCAATGAGCTCCCTAAAGTCCATTCATAGAATGGACTAAAACTGTTTCATAACTGCTGAAGGAAAAGAAAGGTTTAACTCTGTGAGATAAATGCACACATCACAAAGCAGTTTCTCAGAAATCTTCTTTCTACTTCTTATCTGAAGTTATTTTCTTTTTCAACATAAGCCTAAATACGCTCCCAAATATCCTTTGACAGATTCTACAAAAACAGTGTTTCCAAACTGATGAATGGAAAGAAAGGTTTAACTCTATGAGATGAATGCATGCATCACAAAGTGGTTTCTCAGATAGCTTATTTCTAGTTTTTATCCTGGGATATTCACTTTTTCACCATTGGCCTTAATGAGCTCCCTAATGTCCATTTGCATGTTGGACAGAAACAACATTTTCCAAACTGCTGAAACAAAAGAAAGGTTTAACTCTGTGAGATGAATGCACACATCAAAAAGCAGTTTCACAGAAAGGTTCTTTTTAGTTTTTATCTGAATATATTTTCTTTTTCAACACAGGCCTCAATGCGCTCCCAAATATAACTTTTCAGATTCTACCAAAACAGTGTTTCCAAACTGCTGAATGAAAAAAAGGTTTAACTCTGTGAGATGAATGCAAGCATAACAAAGCAGTTTCTCAGATAGCTTACTTCTAGTTTTTATCCTGGGATATTCACTTTTTCACCATTGGACTGAATGATCTCCCTGATGTCCATTCACAAAATGGAGAAAAACAGTATTTCCAAACTGCTGAATCAAAACAAAGTTTTAACTCTGTGAGATGAATGCAAACATCACAAAGCCGTTTCTCAGAGAGCTTCCTTCTAGTTTTATCTGAAGATATTTTCTGTTTCATGATTGGCCTCAATGCTCTCCCAATTACCCCTTTGCAGAATCTACATAAACAGTGTTTCCAAACTGCTGAATGAAAGAAAGGTTTAGCTCTGCGAGATGAATGCACACATCAGAAAGAGGTTTCTCAGATATCTTCCTTCTAATTTTTATACTGGGATTTTCCATTTTTTGCCATTGGCCTCAAAGAGCTCCCAAATCTCCATTCACAGAATGGACAAAAACAGGGTTTTCAAAACTGCTGAAACAGAAGAAAGGTTTAAATCTGTGAGATGAATGCACACATCAAAATGCAGTTTTTCAGAAAGCTTCTTTTCAGTTTTCATCTGAAGATATATTCTTTTTCACCATAGGCCTCAATGTGCTCCCAAATATAACTACACAGATTCTACAAAAACAGTCTTTCCAAACTGCTGAATGATAAGAAAGGTTTAACTCTGTGATATAAACTCATGCATCCCAAAGCAGTTTCTCAGATAGCTTACTTCTAGTTTTTATCACGGGATATTGACTTTTTCACCAACGGTCTTAATGAGCTCCCTAATGTCCATTCTCAGAATGCACAAAAAACAGTATTTCCAAATTTCTGAATCAATAGAATGTTTTAACTCTGTGAGATGAATGCACACATGACTAAGCAGTTCCTCAGAATGCTTCCTTCTTGTTTTATCTGAAGATATTTTCTGTTACACCATAGGCCTCAATGCTTTCTGAAATATCCCTTCACAGAGTCTACAAAAACAGTGTTTCCAACTGCTGAATGAAAGAAAGGTTTAACTCTGTGACATGAATGTACACATCACAAAGAGTTATCTTATATAGCTTCCTTCTAGTTTTTATCTTGGGATATTCACTTTTTCTCCATTGCCCTCAATGAGCTCCCAAATGTCCCTTTGCAGAAAAGAGAAAAACTGTTTTTCCAAACTGCTGAATCAAAAGGAAGGTTAAACTCTATAAGAAGAACGCCCACATCACAAAGAAGTTTCTCTGAAATCTTATTTCTACTTTTTGTCTCAAGATATTTTCTTTTTCACCATAGACCTCAATGCACTCCCAAATATCCCTTCAAATATTGTACAAAAACAGTGTTTCCAAACTACTGAATGAAAAGGAAAATTTACCTCCATGATGTGAATGCACACATCACAAAGCAGTTTCTCAGACAGCTTCCTTCTAGTTTTTATTCTGGGATATTCACTTTTTCACCATTGGCCTCAATGATCCCCCTAATGTCCATTCACAGAATTGACAAAAAGAGTTTTTCCAAACTGCTGCATCAAATAAAGTGTTTAACTCTTTGAGATGAATGAACACATCACAGAGCCATTTCCCAGAAAGGTTCTTTCTAGTTTTTATCTGAAGATATTTTCTATTTCACCATAGGCCTCAATGAGCTCCAAAAAATCTCTTCACAGATTCTACAAACACAGTGTTTCCAAACTGCTGAATGAAAAGAAAGATTTAACTCTGTGAGATGAATGCACACATCTGAAAGCAGTTTCTCAGATAGCTTCCTTCTATTTTTTATGCTGGGATATCTGCTTTTTTGCCATTGACCTCAGTGAGCTCCCAAATGTCCATACGCAGAATGGACAAAAACAGTGTTTCCAAGCTGCTGAATCAAAAGAAAGATTTAACTCTATCAGATGCATGCTCACATCAAAAATCAGTCTCCCAGAGAGGTTCTTTCAGCTTTTTATCTGAAGATCTTTCTTTTTCACCATAGACCACAATATGCTCCCAAATATCCCTTTGCAGATTCTACAAAAACAGTGTTTCCAAACTGCCAAATGAAAAGAAAGGTTTAACTCTGCAAGATGAATGTACACATCACAAAACTGTTTCTCAAGTAATTTCTGTAGAGTTTTTGTCCTGGGATATTCACTTTTTTCCATTGGCCTCAATGAGCTCCCAAAAGACCATTCACAGAAGGGACAAAAACAGTGTTTCCAAAGTGCTGAATCAAAAGAAATGCTTAACTCTGTGAGATGAATACACACATCACAAAGCAGTTTCTCAGAAAGCTCCTTTCTAGTGTTTATCTGAAGATATTTCTTTTTCTCTGTAGGCCTCAAGGCTCTCCCAAATTTCCCTTCACAGATTCTACAGAAACAGTGTTTCCATTTGCTGAATGAAAGAAAGGTTTAACTCTGTGAGATGAATGCTCACATGACAAAGAGTTTTCTTAGATAGCTTCCTTCTAGTTTTTATCTTGGGATATTCACTTTTTTGCCACTGCCCTCAATATCCCACAATAAAAACTTCAAGGAAGCTATCTGAGAAACCACTTTGTGGTGTGTGCATTCATCTCAGAGTTAAAATTTCCTTTCCATTCAGCAGTTTGGAAACACTGTTTTCCTAGAATCTGGCATGGGACATTGGGAGCACATTGTGGTCTATGATGAAAAACAAAATAAATTCAGAATTAAAACTTTCTTTTGATTCAACAGAATAAAAAAACTGTTTCTGTCCATTCTGTGAATGGACATTTGGGTGCTCATTGAGGCCAATGGTACAAAAGCAAATATCCCAGGATAAAAACTAGAAGGAAGGTATCTGAAAAATGGCTTTATGATGTGTGCATTCATCTCGCAGAGTTAAAACTTACTTTTCATTCAGGAGCTTGGAAACACAGTTTTTGTAAGATCTACAAAGGGTTATTTGGGAGCACAATGAGGCCTCGTATGAAAAAGAAAATAGCTTCAGATTAAAAGTACAAAGAAGCTTTCTGAGAAACTACTTTGTGATGTGTGCATTGATCTCACAGAGTTAAAACTTTCTTTTGATTCAGAAGTTTGGAAACACTGTTTTTGTCCATTCTGCAAATATACATTTGGAAGCTCATTGAGGCAAATGGTGAAAAAGCAAATATCCCAGGATAAAAACTAGAAGGAAGCTATCTGAGAAACCATGTTTTGATGTGTGCATTCATCTCACAGAAATAAACCTTTCCTTTATCAGCAAATTGGAAACACTGATTTGTAGAATCCACGAAGGAATATTTGGGATTGATTTGAGGCCTGTGGTGAAAAAGAAAATACCTTCAGATAAAAACTAGAAAGAAGCTTTCTTAGAAACTCCTTTGTGACGTTTGCATTTATCAGGCAGATTTAAAGCTTTCTTTTCATTCAGTAGTTTGGAAACACTTTTTTTGTACAACCAGTGAAGGGATATTTTAGAGCGCAATGAGGCCTATGGCAGAAAAGAAAATATCTTCAAATAAAAAGTAGAAAAAAGCTTTTGAGAGACTGCTTTGTGATGTGTGCATTCATCTCCCATAGTTAAAACTTTCTTTTGATTCAGTAGTTTGGAAACACTGTTATTGTCCATTCAGCAAATGGACAGTTGGGAGATCATTCAGGCCAATGATGAAAAAGTGAATACCACAAGATAAAAGCTAGAAGAATCCGATTTGAGAAACTGCTTTGCAAGCTGTGCATTCATCTCACAAAGTTAAACGTTTCTTTTCATTCAGCAGTTTGGAAACACTGTTTTTGTAGAATCTGTGATGGGATGTTTCAGAGCACTTTGAGGCCTATGATGAAAAAGAAAATATCTTCAGATAAAAACTAGAAAGAAGCTTTCTGAGAAACTCATTTGAGATGTGTGAATTCATCTCACAGAGATAAACTTTTCTTTTGATTCAGCACTTTGGAAACACTGTTTATTTCCATTCAGTTAATGGACATTTTTCTAGCTCATTGAAGGGAATGGTGAAAAAACAAATACCGTAGGATAAAAGCTGGAAGGAACCTATCTGAGAAACCACTTTGTGATGTGTACATTCATCTCACAAAGGTAAACCTTTCTTTTCATTCAGCAATTTGGAAACACTCTTTTTGTAGAATATGCAAAGGGATATTTTAGAGTGTCTGAAGGCCTATGGTGAAATAGAAAATATCTTCAGATAAAAACTAGAAAGATGCTTTCTGAGAAACTTCTTTGTGATTTGTACATTAATCTGACAGCTTTAAATTGTACTTTTCATTAAGCAGTTTGGAACCCGTTTTTGTCAATTCTGTGAATGGACATTTGGGAGCTAATTGAGGCCAAAGGCAAAAAAGCGAATATCCCAAGAAAAGAACTAGAAGGAAGCTATCTGAGAAACTGCATTGTAATGTGTGCACTCAACTCGCAGAGGTAAAACTTTCTTTTCATTCAGCAGTTCGGAAAAACTGTTTTTTAGAATCTGTGTGGTATACTTGTGTGTGCTTCGAGATCTATGCTGAAAAAGAAAATATCTTCAAATAAAAAGTAGAAAGAAGGTTTCTGAGAAACTGGTTTATGATGTGTGCATTCATCTCCCAGAGTTAAAAATTTATGTTGAGTCAGCAGTTTAGAAAACTGTTTTTGTCCATTCTGTGAATGGACATTTGGGAGCTCTTTGAAGCCAAAGGCAAAAAAGATAATATCCCAGGATAAAAACTAGAAGGAAGCTATCTGAAAAACCGCTAATTGATGTGTTCATTCATCTCTCAGAGATAAAACTTTCTTTTCATTCAGCAGTTTGGAAACACTGTTTTTGTAGAATCTGCAAAGGCATTATTTGGGAGTGTATTGAGGCAGATGGTGGAAAAGAAAATATCTTCAGAAAAAAACTAGAGAGAAGCTTTCTGAGAAACTACTTTGTGATGTGCGGATTTATAGTGAAGAGTTAAACCTTTGTTTTGATTCAGCAGTTTGGAAACACTGTTTTTGTCCATTCTATGAATGGGCATCCGGGAGCTCAATGAAGCCTATGGTGAATACGGGAATAACCTGGCACAAAAATGAGAAGGAAGCTATCTTCCAATCAGCTATATGGTAGCTGATTGAGGCCAATGGTAAAAAAGCAAATATCCCAGGGTAAATCTAGAAAGAAGCTATCTGAGAAACCACTTTGTGATTTGTGCATTCATCTTGAAGAATTAAATCTTCCTTTTAATTCAGCAGTTTGAAAACACTGTTTTTGTAGAATCTGTAAATGGACATTTCAGAGCACGTTGAAGCCTATAGTGAAAAAGAAAATATCTTCAGATAAATACTACAAGGAAGCTTTCTTAGAAACTGCTTTATGATGTGTGTTTTCATCTCACAGATTTAAACCTTTCTTTTAATTCAACAGCTTGGAAACACTGATTTTGTCCATTCTGCAAATGGACATTTGGGAGCTCATTGAGGCCAATGGATGAAAAGCAAATATCTCAGGATAAAAACTTCAAGGAAGCTATCTGAGAAACTGCTTTGTGATGTGTGCATTCATCTAGCAGAGTTAAACATTTCTTTTGATTGAGTAATTTGGAAACACTGCTTTTGTAGAATCTGTGAAGGGATATTTGGGAGCATCTTGAGACCTATGGTGAAAAAGAAAGCATCTTAAGATAAAAAGTAGAAAGAAGCTTTCTGATAAACTTCTCTGTGATGGGTGCATTCATCTCACAGAGTTAAAACCTTTTTAAGATTCAGCAGTTTGGAAAGACTGTTTTTGTAGAATCTATGAAGGGATATTTGGGAGCCCATTGGACCAATGATGAAAAAGTAAATATCTTCATATAAAAACTGAAAAGAAGCTTTCTGAGAAACTGCTTTGTGATGTGCACATTCATCTCACAGAGCTAAACCTTTCTTTTCATTCAGCAGTTTGGAAACACTCTTTTTGTACAATCTGCAAAGAAATATTTGGGAGTGAATTGGTGAAAAAGAAAATATCTTAAGATAAACAGTAGAAAGAAAATATCTTAAGATAAACAGCAGAAAGAAGCTTTCTGAGAAAGTGCTTTTTGATGGGTGCATTCACCTCACAGAGTTAAACATTTATATTGATATAAGAGTTTGGAAAAAATGTTTTTGTCCATTCTGCAAATGGACAGTCGTAGCTGATTGAGGCCAATGGCAAAAAAGCAAATATCCCAGGGAAAAAACTAGAAGGAATGTATCTGAGAAACCACTTTGTGATTTCTGCATTCATTTCACTGGGGTAAACCTTTCTTTTCATTCAGTAGTTTGGAAACACTGTTTTTGTAGAATCTGCAAACGGATATTTTGGTGCTCATTGAGGCCCATGGTGAAAAAGAAAATATCTTCAGATGAAAACTAGAAAGAAGCTTTCTGAGAAATTGCTTTGTGATTTGTGTTTTTGTCACATAGAGTTAAAACTTTCTTTTGATTCAGCATTTTGGAAACACTGTTTTTGTTGATTCTGTGAGTGGACATTTGGGAGCTCACTGAGGCCAATGGCGAAAAATCAAATATCCCAGGATAAACACTAGAAGGAAGCTGTCTGAGAAACCACTTTGTGATGTACGCATTCATCTCCCAGAGTTAATCTTTTCTTCTCATTCAGCAGTTTGGAAACCCTGTTTTTGTAGAATCTGTTAAGGTATATTTCTGAGTGCATTGAGGCCTCTGGTGAAAAAGAAAATATCTTCAGATAAAAACTAGAAAGAAACTCTCTGACAAAAGGCTTTGTAATGTGGGCACTTATTTCACAGAGTTAAACCTTTCTTTTTATTCCACTGTTTGGAAACACTGTTTTTGTCCATTCTGTGAATGGACATTTGGGAACTCATTGAGGCCAATGGAGAAAAAGCGAATATCTAAAGATAAAAACTACAATGAAGCTATCTGAGAAATTGCTTGGTGATGAGTACATTCATCTCGCAGATTTAAACCTTTTTTTTTCATTCAGCGGTTTGGAAACACTGTTTTTGGAGAATCTGCAAAGGGATATTTGGGAGCGCATTGAGTCCTATGGTGAAAAAGAAAATATGTTAACATAAAAAGTGGAAAGAAGCTTTCTGGGAAACTCCTCTGTGATGGGTGCATTCACCTCACAGAGTTAAACCTTTCTGTTGATCCAGGAGTTTGGAGACACTGTTTTGTAGAATATGTGAAGGAATATTTTGGAGCACATTGAGGCTTATGGTGAAAATATCTTCAGATAAAAACTAGACAGAAGCTTTCTGAGAAACTGCTTTGTAATGTGTGCTTTCATCTCACAGAGGTAAAGCTTTCTTTTGATTCAACAGTTTGGAAACACTGTTTTTGTCCATTCTGAGAATGGACATTTGGGAGCTCATTAAGGCCAATAGAGAAAAAGGGAATATCACAGGATAAAAAGTACAAGGAAGGTATGTGAGAAACTGCTGTGTGATGTGGGCATTCATCTCATAGAGTTTAACTTATGTTTTCTTTCAGAAGTTTGGAAACACTGTTTTTGTAGAATCTGCAAAGGGATATTTGGGAGCCCATTGAGGCCTCTGGTGGAAATGTAAATATCTTCACATAAATCTAAAAAGAAGCTTTCTGAGAAACTGCTTTGTGATGTGTGCATTCATCTCACAGAGTAAAAATTTCTTTTGTTTCAGCAGTTTGGAAACACTGCTTTTCTCCATTCTGCAAATGGACATTTTGGAGCTCATTGAGGTCAATGGAGAAAAAGTGAATATCTCAGGATAAAAACTGTAAGGAATCTATCTGAGAAACTGCTTTTGGATGTGTGCATTCATCTTGCACAGATAAACCTTTCTTTACATTCAGCAGTTTGGAAACACTGTTTCTGTAGAATCTGTGAAGAAATATTTGGGAATGCATTGAGACCTATGGTGAAAAAGAAAATATTTTAAGATAAAAAGTAGAAAGAAGCTTTCTGAGAAAGTACTCTGTGATGGTTGCATTCACCTCACAGAATTCAACATTTCTTTTGTTCCAGCAGTTTGGAAATGCTGTTTTTGTAGAATCTGCAAAGGATATTCCATAGTGCATTGAGGCCTTTGGTGAAAAACAATGTATCTTCAAATAAAAACTAGAGAGAAGCTTTCTGAGAAAGTTCTTTGTGATGTGCACATTCACCTCACAGAGTTAAACCTGTCTTTTGATTCAATAATATGGAAACACTGTTTCTGTCCATTCTGCGAATGGACATTTCGGAGCTCATTGAGACCAATGGATAAAAAGTGAATATCCCAGGATAAAAACTTCATGGAAGCCATCTAAGAAACCACATTGTGAAGTGTGCATTCATCTCACAGAATTGAACCTTTCTTTACATTCAGCAGTTTGAAGACACTGTTTTTGCAGAATCTGCATAGGGATATTTGGGAGCACACTGAGACCTATGTTTAAAAAGAAAATATCTTAAGATAATAGGTAGAAAGAAGCTTTCTGAGAAACTGCTTTGTGATGTATGCATTCATCTCACAGTGTTAAAACTTTCTTTTGATTCAGCAGTTTGGAAACACTGTTTTTGTCCATTCTGCAAACGGACATTTCAGAACTCATTGAGGCCAATGGAGAAAAAGCAAATATCCCAGGATAAAAACTACAATGAAGGCATCTGAGAAACTGATTTGTAATGAGTGCATTCATCTCACAGAGTTAAACCTTTCTTTTCATTCAGCAGTTTTGGAACACTGTTTTTGTAGAATCTGCGAAGGGCTATGTGGGAGTGCATTGAGACCTATGGTGAAAAAGAAAATGTCTTAAGATAAAAAGTAGAAAGAAGCTTTCTGAGAAAGTGCTCTGTAATGAGTGCATTCACCTCACAGAATTCAACCTTTCTTTTGATTCAGCAGTCTGGAAACACTGTTTTTTTTTTCATTCTGCAAATGGAGATTTGGTAGCTAATTGAGACCAAAGGCAAAAAAGCAAATATCCCAGGGTAAAAACTAGAAGGAACGTATCTGAGAAACTGCTTTGTGATGTGTGCATTCATCAGGCAGAGTTAAACCTTTCTTTTCATTCAGCAGTTTGGAAACACTGTTTTTGTAGAATCTGTGAAGGGATATTTTGGAGTGCATTGAGGACTATGGAGAAAAAGAAAATATCTTCATATAAAAACTAGAAAGAAGCATTCTGAGAAACTGCTTTGTGATGGGTGCATTCATCTCAGAGAGTTAAAACTTTCTTTTGATTCAGCTGTTAGGAAACACTGTTTTCATCCATTCTGCAAATGGAAATTTGGGGGTTCATTGAGGCCAATGGTGAAAAATCGAATATCCCAGGATAAACAATATAAGGAAGTTATCTGAGAAACAGCTTTATGATGTTTGCATTCATCATGCAGAGTTAATCCTTTATTCCCATTCAGTAGTTTGAAAACACTGGTTTTGTAGAATCTGTTAAGGGATATTTCAGAGTGCATTTAGGCCTATGGTGGAAAAGAAAATATCTTCAGATAAAAACTAGAAAGAAGCTTTCTGACAAACTGCTGGGTGATGTGTGAACTCATTTCACAGAGTTAAGACTTTCTTTTGATTCAACAGCTTGAAAACACTGTTTTTCTCCACTCTGCAAATGGACATTTGGGAACTCATTTAAGCCAATGGGGAAAAAGTGAATATCCCAGGATAAAAACTTCAAGGAAGCTATCTCAGAAACCACTTTGTGATGTGTGCATTCATTTCACAGAGTTAATCCTTTCTTTTGATTCAGCAGTTTGGAAACACTGCTTTTGTAGAATCTGCTAAGGGATATTTTGTAACCCATTGAGTCCTATGGTGAAAAAGTAAACATCTTCATATAAAAACTGAAAGAAGCATCCTGAGAAACTAATTTGTGATGTGTGCATTCATCTCACAGAGTTAATTCTTTCTTTTGATTCAATAGTTTTGAAACACTCTTTTTGTCCATTCTGCGAAGGGATATTTAGGAGCACATTGAGCCCTATGGTGAAAAAGATCTTCAGATAAAAATTAGAATGAAGCTTTCTGAGGAACTCCTTGTAACGTGTCCATTCATCTCACAGAATTAATCCTTTCTTTTAATTCAACAGTTTTGAACCACTGTTTTTCTTCATGCTGTGAATGGATATTTGGGAGCTCAATGAGGCCAATGGAGAAAAAGGGAATATCTCAGGATAAAAACTCCAAGGAAGCTATCTGAGAAACCGCTTTGTGATGTGTGCATTCACCTAGTAGAGGTAAACCTTTCTTTTCATTCAGCAGTTTGGAAAAACAGTTTTTATAGTATCTGTGAAGGGATATTTGGGAGTGCATTGAGATCTATGGTGAAAAAGAAAATACCTTAAGAAAAAAAGTAGAAGGAATCTTTCTGAGAAACTGCTGTGTGATGTTTGCATTCATGTCAGGGGTAAACATTTCTTTTCATTCAGTAGTTTGGATGCACTCTTTTTGTCCATTCTGCAAATGCACATTTTGTAGCTGATTTAGGCCAATGGCAAAAAAGCACATATCCCTGTATAAACACTGCAAGGATGCTATCTGAGAAACCACTTTGTGTTGCATGCCTTCATCTCTCAGAGTTAATCCTTTTTTCTCATTCAGCAATTTGGAAACACTGTTTTTGTAGAATCTGTTAAGGGATATTTCAGAGTAGATTGAGGCCTATGGTGAAAAAGAAAATGTCTTCAGACAAAAACTAGAAAGAAGCTTTCTGACAAACTGCTTGGTGATGTGTGAACTCATCTCACAGTGTCAAATCATACTTTTGATTCAACAGTTTGGAAACACTGTTTTTGTTCATGATGTGAATGGATATTTAGGAGCTCATTGAGGCCAATGGAGAAAAAGTGAATATCCCAGGATAAAAATTTAAGGAAGCTATCTGAGAAACCACTTTGTGATGTGTGCATTCATCCCACAGTTAAACCTTTCTACACATTCAGCAGTTTGGAAACACTGTGTATAGTCTTTGAAGGGATATTTGGGTGTGCATTGAGGCTATGGTGAAAAAGAAAATATCTTCAGATAAAAAGTCGAAGGAAGCTTTCTGAGAAAGTGCTTTTTGATTTGCACATTCATCTCACAGAATTAAACCTTTCTTTTGATTCAGCAGTTTGAACCAGTGTTTTTGTCCATTCAGCGAATGGACAGTTTGTGGCTCATTGAGGCCAATGGTGAAAAACTGAATATCTCAGGATAAAAACAAAAAGAAGCTATCTGAGAAACTGCTTTGTGATGTGTGCATTCATCTTGCAGAGATAAAGCTTACTTCTCATTCAGCAGATTGCACACACTGTTTTCATAGAATCTGTGAAGGGATATTTTGGAGTGCAAGGAGACCTATGGCGAAAAAAATCTTCAGATAAAATGTAGAAAGAAGCTTTCTGAGAAACTGCTTTGTGATGTGTGCACTCATTTCACAGAGTTAACCATTTCTTTTAATTCAGCAGCTTGGAAACACTGTTTTTGAACATTCTGCAAATGGACATTTGGGAGCTCATTGAGACCAATGGCGAAAAAGTGAATATACCAGGATAAAAACTAGAAGGAAGCTAACTGAGAACACACTATGTGATTTGTGCATTCATCTCACAGAGTTAAGCCTTTCTTTTTACTGAGCAGTTTGTATACACTGTTTTTCTCCATTGAGTGAATGGACATTTGGGAGCTCATTGAGGTAAAGGTGAAAAAGAGAATATCCCAGGATAAATACTAGAAGGAACCTCTCTCAGAAACTGCTTTGTGATGTGGGTATTCATCTCGAAGAGTTAAAACTTCCTCTTCATTAAGCAGTTTGGAAACACTGTTTTTGTGAAATATGAGAAGGGATATTTGGACCTGCATTAAAGCCTATGGTCAAAAAGTAAATATCTTCAGATTAAAACTAGAAAGAAGCTTTCTGAGAAATTGTTTTGTGATGTGCATTCATCTTGCAGAGTTAAACTTTTCTTTTTCATTTAGCCATTTGGAAACACTGTTTTTGTCCATTTTGTAAAAGGATATTTGGGAGCTCATCAAGGCCAATGGTGAAAATGCGAATATCCCAGGATAAAAACTAGAATTAAGCTATCTGAGAAACTGCTTTGTGATATGAGCATTCATCTCACAGAGATAAACCTTTCTTTTCATTCAGCAGTTTGGAAACACTGTTTTTGTAGAATCTGCAAAGGGATATATGGGAGCTCATTGAGGCCTATGGTGAAAAGGAAAATATCTTCACATTAAAACTAGAAGGAAGGTTTCTGGGAAACTGCTTTGTGATGTCTGCATTCATCTCACAGAGTTAAACATTTCTTTTGATTCAGCAGTTTGTAAACACTGTTTTTGTCTGTTCTGTGAATGGACATTTGGGAGCTCATTGAGTCCACTGGTGAAAAAGCAAATATCCAGGGATACAAACTAGAAGGAAGCTACCTGAGAAACTGCTTTGTGAGGTGTGAATTCACCTCTCTGAGTTAAACCTTTCCTTTTATTTGGTATTTTTGAAACACTGTTTTTGTAGAATCTGTGAATGAATATGTGGGAGTGCATTGAGGCCTACGGTGAAAAAGAAAACATCTTCAGATAAAAAGTAGAAAGAAGGTTTCTGAGAAACTGCTTTGTAATGTGTGTATTCATCTCACAGAGTTAAAACTGTCTTTTAATTCAGCAGTTTGGAAACACTTTTTGACAATTCTGTGAATGGACATTTGGGAGATCCTTGAGGCCAATGGTGAAAAAGCGAATATACCAGGATAAAAACTAGAAGAATGTTACCTGTTAATATGCATTATGATTTTTGCATTCAACTCACAGAGTTAAAAGTTTTTGATTTAGCAGTTTGGAAACACTGTTGTCATCCATTCTCTGAATCTACATTTGGGAGCTCATCGATGCCAATGACAAAAAAAAAGAATATCCCAGGATAAAACCTAGAAGGAATTTATCTGAGAAACAACTTTGTGAAGTGTGCATTCATGTTGCACAGTTAAAAGTTTCTTTTCATTCATCAGTTTGGAAACACTGCTTTTTAAGAATCTGTGAAGGGATATTTGGGAGCACATTGAGGTGAAAAGAAATTAACTTCAGATAAAAAATAGAAAGAAACTTTCTCAGAAATGGCTTTGTGATGTGTGCATTTATCACACAGAGTTAAACATTTCTTTTAATTCAAAACTGTTTTGAAGAATCTGTGGAGGGATATTTGGGAGCACATTGAGGCCTATGCTGAAAAAGATAATATCTTCAGATAAAAACTAAAAAGAGGCATCCTGAGAAACTCCTTTTTGATGTGTGCATTCACCGCACAGAGTAAAACCTTACTTTGCCAGCAGCAGTTTGGAAACACTTTTTGTAGAATCTGCAAAGGGATATTTGGGAGTGAATTTAGGCCTATGGTGAAAAAGAATAAAGCCTCCAAGAAATATGGGACTATGTGAAAAGACCAAATCTACGTCTGATTGGTGTACCTGAAAGAGACAGGGAGAATGGAACCAAGTTGGAAAACACTCTGCAGGATATTATTCAGGGGAACTTCCCCAATCTAGCAAGGCAGGCCAACATTCAAATTCAGGAAATACAGAGAACAACCACAGAGCAACTCCAAGACATACAATTGTCAGATTCACCAAAGTTGAAATGAAGGAAAAAATGTTAAGGGCAGCCAGAGAGAAAGGTCAGGTTACCCATAAGGGGAAGCCCATCAGACTAACAGGTGATCTCTCTGCACCTGTTGGGGGCCAATATTCAACATTCTTAAAGAAAAGAATTTTCAACCCAGAATTTCATATCCAGCCAAACCGAGCTTCATAAGTGAAGGAGAAATAAAATTCTTTACAGACAAGCAAATGCTGAGAGATTTTGTAACCACCAGACCTGCCCTACAAGAGCTCCTGAAGGAAGCACTGAACATGGAATGGAACAACCGGTACCAGCCACTGCAAAAACGTGCCAAATTGTAAAGACCATCAATGCTAGGAAGAAATTGCATCAACTAATGAGCGAAATAACCAGCTAACATCATAATGATAGGATGAAATTCACAGATAACAATATTAACCATAAATGTATATGGGCTAAATGCCCATTTAAAAGACACAGATTGGCAAATTGGACAAAGAGTCAAAACCCATCAGTGTGCTCTATTCAGGAAACACATCTCACATGTAGAGACACATAAGATAGGCTCAAAATAAAGGAATGGAGGAAGATCTACCAAGCAAATGGAAAACAAAAAAGGCAGGGGTTGCAATCTTAGTCTTGGATAAAACAGACTTTAAACCAACAAAGATCAAAAGAGACAAAGAAGGGCATTACATAATGGTAAAGGGCTCAATTCAGCAAGAAGAGCTAACTATCCTAAATATATATGCACCCAATACAGGAGCACCCAGATTCATAAAGCAAGTCCTGAGTGACCTACAAAGAGACTTAGACTCCCACACAATAATAATGGGAGACTTTAACAACCCACTGTCAACATTAGACAGATCAATGAGACAGAAAATTAAAAAGGATATCCAGGAATTGAACTCAGCTCTGCACCAAGCAGACATAATAGACATCTACAGAACTCTCCACCCCAAATCAACAGAATATACATTCGTTTCAGCACCACACCACACCTATTCCAAAATTGACCACATACTTGGAAGTAAAACACTCCTCAGCAAATGTAAAAGAAGAGAAATTATAACAAACTGTCTCTCAGACCACAGTGCAATCAAACTAGAATTCAGGATTAAGAAACTCACTCAAAACCACTCAACTACATGGAAACTGAACAACCTGCTCCTGAATGATGACTGGGTACATAAGGAAATGAAGGCAGAAATAAAGATGTTCTTTGAAACCAGCGAGAACAAAGACAAAACATACCAGAATCTCTGGGACACTTTCAAAGCAGTGTGTAGAGGGAAACTCGTAGCACTAAATGCCCACAAGAGAAAGCAGGAAAGATCTAACATTGACACCCTAACATCACAGTTAAAAGAACTAGAGAAGCAAGAGCAAATACATTCAAAAGTAGCAGAAGGCAAGAAATAACTAAGATCAGAGCAGAACTGAAGGAAATAGAGACACAAAAAACCCTTCAAAAATTTAATGAATCCAGGAGTTGGTTTTTGGAAAAGATCAACAAAATTGATAGACCGCTAGCAAGACTAATGAAGAAGAAAAGAGAGAAGAATCAAATAGATGCAATAAAAAATGATAAAGGGAATATCACCACTGATCCCACAGAAATGCAAACTACCATCAAAGAATACTACAAACACCTCTACGCAAAAAAAAAAAAACTAGAAAATCTAGAAGAAATGCATAAATTCCTTGACACATACACCCTCCCAAGACTAAACCAGGAAGAAGTTGAATCTCTGAATAGACCACTAACAGGCTATGAAATTGAGGCAATAATTAACAGCTTACCAACCAAAAAAAGTCCAGGACAAGATGGATTCACAGCCGAATTCTACCAGAGGTACAAGGAGGAGTTGGAACCATTCCTTCTGAAACTATTCCAATCAATAGAAAAAGAGGGAATCCTCCCTAACTCATTTTATGAGGCCAGCATCATCCTGATACCAAAGCCGGGCAGAGACACAACGAAAAAAGAGAATTTTAGACCAATATCACTGATGAACATCGATGCAAAAATCCTCAATAAAATACTGGCTAACTGAATCCAGCAGCACATCAAAAAGCTTATCCACCATGATCAAGTGGGCTCCATCCCTGGGATGCAAGGCCAGTTCAACATATGCAAATCAATAAATGTAATCCAACATATAAACAGAACCAAAGACAAAAACCACATGATTATCTCAATAGATGCAGAAAAGGCCTTTGACAAAACTCAACAACCATTCATGCTAAAAACTCTCAATAAATTAAGTATTGATGGGATGTATCTCAAAATAATAAGAGCTATCTATGAGAAAACCACAGCCAATATCATACTGAATGGACAAAAAGTGGAAGCATTCCTTTGGAAACTGGCACAAGACAGGAATGCTGTCTCTCACCACTCCTATTCAACATAGTGTTGGAAGTGCTGGCCAGGGCAATTAGGCAGAAGAAGGAAATAAAGGGTATTCAATTAGGAAAAGAGGAAGTTAAATTGTCCCTGTTTGCAGATGACATGATTGTATATCTAGAAAACCCCTTCATCTCAGCTCAAAATCGCCTTAAGCTGATAGGCAACTTCAGCAGTCTCAGGATACAAAATCAATGTGCAAAAATCACAAGCATTCTCATACACTAATAACAGACAAACAGAGAGCCAAATCATGAGTGAACTCCCATTCACAATTGCTTCAAAGAGAATAAAATACCTAGGAATCCAACTTACAAGGTACATGAAGGACCTCTTCAAGGAGAACTACAAACCACTGCTCAATGAAATAAAAGAGGATACGAACAAATGGAAGAACATTCCATGCTCATGGGTAGGAAGAATCAATATCAGGAAAATGGCCATACTGCCCAAGATAATTTATAGATTCAATGCCATCCCCATCAAGCTACCAATGACTTTCTTCACAGAATTGGAAAATCTACTTTAAAGTTCATATGGAACCAAAAAAGAGCCAACATTGCCAAGTCAATCCTAAGCCAAAAGAACTAAGCTGGAGGCTTCATGCTACCTGACTTCAAACTATACTACAAGGATACAGTAACCAAAACAGAATGGTACTGGTATCAAAAGAGCGATATAGACCAATGGAACAGAACAGAGCCCTCAGAAATTATGCTGCATATCTACAACTATCTGATTTTTGAGAAACAAGACAAAAACAAGCAATAGGGAAATGATTCCCTATTTAATAAATGGTGCTGGAAAAACTGGCTAGCCATAGGTAGAAAGCTGAAACTGGATCCTTTCCTTACACCTTATACAAAAATTAATTCAAGATGGATTAAAGACTTACATGTTAGACCTAAAACCATAAAAACCCTAGAAGAAAACCTAGGCAATACCATTCAGGACATAGGCAAGGGCAAGGACTTCATTTCTAAAACACCAAAAGCAATGGCAACAAAAGCCAAAATTGACAAATGGGATCTAATTAAACTAAAGAGCTTCTGCACAGCAAAAGAAACTACCATCAGAGTGAACAGGCAACCTACAAAATGGGAGAAAATTTTTGCAACCTCCTCATCTGACAAAGGGCTAATATCCAGAATCTACAATGAACTCAAATTTACAAGAAAAAAACGAACAACCCCATCAAAAAGTGGGCAAATGATATGAACAGACACTTCTCAAAAGAAGACATTTATGCAGCCAAAAAGCACATGAAAAATGCTCATCATCACTGGCCATCAGAGAAATGCAAATCAAAACCACAATGAGATACCATCTCATACCAGTTAGAATGGCAATCATTAAAAAGTCAGGAAACAACAGGTGTTGGAGAGGATGTGGAGAAATAGGAACACTTTTACACTGTTGGTGGGACTGTAAACTAGTTCAACCATTGTGGAAGTCAGTGTGGCAATTTCTCAGGGATCTAGAACTAGAAATACCATTTGACCCAGCCATCCCATTACTGGGTATATACCCAAAGGATTATAAAACATGCTGCTATAAAGACACATGCACACATATGTTTATTGCGGCACTATTCACAATAGCAAGGACTTGGAACCAACCCAAATGTCCAACAATGATAGACTGGATTAAGAAAATGTGGCACATATGCACCGTGGAATACTATGCAGCCATAAAAAATGATGAGTTCATGTCCTTTTTAGAGACATGGATGAAGCTGGAAACCATCATTCTCAGTAAAGTATCGCAAGGACAAAAAACCAAACGCTGCATGTTCTCACTCATAGGTGGGAATTGAATAATGAGAACACATGGACACAGGAAGGGAACATCACACACAAGGGCCTGTTGTGGCCTCGGGGGAGGGGTGAGGGATAGCATTAGTAGATATACCTAATGTTATATGAAGAGTTAATGGGTGCAGCACACCAACATGGCACATGTATACATATGTAACAAACCTTCACATTGTGCACATGTTCCCTAAAACTTAAACTATAATAATAAAAAAAAGAAAATACCTCCCATTGGGTTGCTTAAAGAAAGAGAATTTGTAATATCAAAGTTCTGGAGGCTCAAAGTCCAAGACTTATTGTCAGGCTTGGTTTCTCCTAAAGTCTGTCTTTGGCTTGCAGACAGCTGCCATAGGGTTGCATTCATTCCCACTTGGCATTTCCTCTGTATGCATATCCCTGATGTCTTTCTGTCTGTCCAGATTTCCTCTTCTTATAAGAACCCATAAGAGACCATTCTAATGGCTTCGTATGTGCCCATCCTAAGGGCCTCATAACCCAACCATATCTTTACAGGACCCAGCTTCAAACAGTCATATTCTTGTGTACTGTGGTTTAGGGCTTCAACATATGAATTTTGAGGAGTCACGATTCAGCCCATAACACTCACGATTTGTCACTGCAGACTGGGACAAACTGTAATTTATCCACAGGCAGCAGTCATGCCCAATCTAATGTCCTGGTACAATAATTTCTCTCTACTTCTTCTGTCTACTTTGTTACCTAGATTTCTTATGTTAATGTACTTGTTGAACTGAATGTCTGTAATTAGAAGATAACACAGGATAGAAGGTAAAAGTCAGTCTGTATTTATAGCCTTAGCTTCACCTATTGCTAGGAATGAGATCCTTGAAGGTCTCTTGCTTCAATTCTCTTATCTTTAAGATGGGTATAATAACAGTATATATGTCAAAGAGTTGTCATTTCCATTAAATGAGTTAATGTACATAAAGCTCTTTGCACCAAACACGTTGTAGTATCTATATAAGTGACTGTTATATATAAACTAATTTTATGCAACACATTTGTGTAATATGATTTTTAAAATGTATGAATGAATAAAACATAAGCAAATACCTAACTGGTGACATATTTTTAGAATGCCACCTGAAATAGATTATAAATACATACTTGTATTCACAATTCTTTTAACCTGATAGTTTATCAAATCTTCATTCCATAGCTATATTTCCTTTGAATTTCCTTATTTTGTCACTTCATTTGGATAATGTACATTTTCTCAGTCATCACTAGAAGCCCCCTACCTGCACTGCTTTACCTCCCACCAGCTTCTCCAAGGCCACTACAGAACTTGTCACCTAACTCAGCAAATACTATTATATCTATGTTTCATATATGGAAATACAAGTTTGGGAATCGCACTGCTATTACTCTCCCGTGGTCAGCAGGTTCCACTTCTCCTGCCTAATGCTCTGTGGATGCTTTACTGTCAATATCTAAGATGATTTATACACTTTGGGCTACTATTATGAGAAATAGAAATGATCTATTTCTCATTTCACTTTGTGCTACTCAGATCTGTGTCTATAGAAATGATCTTCAGGCTTTTGTAGGATTTTCTTATTTCAGCATTGCTGACTTTGGTCTTTTTCCTCTGTTCCAGGTGGTGTGCTTCCTCTATAAAGCAAGAAGCCTCAGACTTCATACTGTGATTTTCAGAATAAGAATGCAATAGACTCAGTACAACTCACTACTATAGTCTTCATTTTATCCCCTTGCCCTACTTCTCTGCTGACAACTTTGCTTCCTATTTTATTGACAACAAAAAATCAGATAATGCCTTCTTGTTTTTCCCCAGCTCCAAAACAAATAGCCTATCTGGACCTGTGCCCAGGTCTTCTGCTCCTTCTTCTATCACTATAAGTTATCACCAATCCTGCCCTCCCACTGGTTCCAGACAGCCCTTCCTTCCACTGGTTCCCAGACAGTGCCACCTTCTTGAGGACTTGGATCCTATAATGATCCCTCTTCTTATATCATCATCTTCTTCCTCTGTATTGGATCATGTTTACTAACAAACAAAACATAAAACCAAAAATATTTCCTTGACCCCAGGTCATTGTCCAGTTATTGCATTACTTGCCTGCTTTTCTTGATAGCTGAAAGACAGCAGAATATCCAATATAAAATATGCCACTTTGGCTTAAGAATTATTTTGAGCTGAAGGAAATTCAGAAGCAGATACAAGAAAAGTCTCTGCCTCTTCTCTGCTGGGACTCACAAAACAATATCCCAAAACAAAGGCCTCAGAAGCAAAAGTTTTTCTCTGAACTTCTCCAACCCTCCTGTATCTCAGTCCCATTCTCTGCCAAGGCTAGCCATAGAAACTAGAATCCCTCTTCCTCAAGTAGGGTTATAGAAACCAAGAACCCTTTTTTCCTAAAACCAGTCATAAAACCTAAAAATATTACTCTAACTTTCCCTTTGCCCTATCTTTGTAAAAGCTGGTCATAAAGAAATTATCTGACCTGCACTGTTTCACTGTGTCCTTCCTTGACCACCCATATTTCTACATGGCTGTCCATACTTTGTTGACCTTCAGCATAAAAATGAGCAATTTCCTCTGTATCTTTGGGTCTTCATTCTGAAGGCTACTGTGTACACGTGTTAAACACATTTACATGTCTTTTCTTGTACTAATCTGCCTTGTGCAAGCAGATTTTTCAGAGAACCTTCCAAAGGGGAAGTTCCCCATTGGCCCCCACACTCTATTAACCTAAAAGCAGGACCTACATTTAAAAAGTGTCCCTCCATCCCCCTCTACCAGGAAAGACAGGCTGATCACTAGAGATTACTTCAGACCATTACAAACCTGGATATGGAACCAGAGGAATCTATATAACAAACTTCACTAACTACCTTTTATCTACCATAAATTTCCCATATCTGGCCTCCCCAACACCCTTCTTTCTTTCTTTGAGTTGAAGATGCTGTATCACAGCCAGAGTTCTAGGCTGCCTTGTTGAGATATGCTCTTTTCCCCTATCTCCCATGTATATATGAGATATACATGATAAATCTGTTTGTTTGTTTTTCCATTAGTAAACTATCTTTTTCCTAGCTAAGAACTATGAAGGATAGAGAGAAAATTATTTTTCTCCTCTCCTACACAGTCAAATTCTCTAAAGATTTGTCTACCATCAATGTCTCCATTTTCTCACATTTCATTCTCTCTGGAATCCACTGTAATCAAGAATTCAGCCTCAACAGAACTTTGAAACTGTTCCTTTCAATGCCAATAGTGATCTTCTGGTCATAGCCAAAGGTCAGTTCTCACTTCCCTTATTCAACTTCTCAGTAGCATTGAACATGGTTGAACAATCCCTGTTCTTGGACCTTGCTTTACTTGGCCTGAACAGCATGGACATACCAAAAATACCACAAATTTTAGAGTCAGGCAGATGTAAACATAAATTCTGGATTTTCTACATTGTATTTGCTTGATGTCTCTGAAATTATTGAACCTCACCTCAATTTTTTACATTTCTATAAGATAAAGATAACAGTACTCTTCCTGTAGGAGTATTAAAGACAGTATATATAAAACCTCAGCTTAATTTATGGCACACCATAAGTACTCAATAAATGATAACAATAATCATTATTGCTTTTTTCTTTACTTCTTGCTTCCATACTTCTGTTTATATTTTTACATCTGTGTGGTAGGCAGTGTTTTATCCCCAAAATTTATTTCACCTGTGGAAATCCCACCCTAACCTTAAAATCCATCTCCAATTTATTTTTTCCATGAAGTCATCCTTGTTTGTTTCTGAAAGAAAATGACCCTTCCTAGGAATCATTAGTTGCTTATTTTATCTGTAATTCCTATAGCATCCGTGTTATATTACTTTAATTCATGAATGTGTTTTATTGCCCTTACTAGTTCTAAGTTTCCAGTGGGCATAACCAGCTATGTAGAAGAAATCAGCTAAAATTTGCCTGGTAGGTTTTATAATTTGATGTTTCAGGTTTGGAAAGTTGTTTAAACATTTGCTCAATATAGTAATACTACCTAATCAAGAACCCATGAAAAAAATATTGAAATTAAAAGAAAAATTTATCCAACAGTCATTGAAAGCCAGTGCCTCCAAAAAAATGGAAAACCATTCCATGTTCATGCATAGGAGAATCAATATTGTTAAAATGGCCATACTGTCCAAAGCAATTTACAAGATTCAAAGCTATTCTTATCAAACTACCAATGACATTCTTCACAAAACTATAAAAAAACTATTTGAAATTCATATGGAACCAAAAAAAGAGCCTGAATAGCCAAAGCAATTCTAAGCAAAAAGAACAAAGCAAGAGGCATTACACTACTCAACTTTAAACTGTAACTACAGGGCTATGGTAACCAAAACAGCAAAGCAGTGGTACCAAAACAGACACATGGACCTATGGAACTGAATAGAAAGCCCAGAAGTAAGGCTGCATACCTACAATAATCTAATCTTTGACAAAGCTGACAAAAACAAGCAATGAGGAAAGGACTTCCTATTCAATAAATGGTGCTGGGATAACAGGCTACCCATCTGCAGAGAATTGAAACTGGACTCCTTCCTTACTTCATGTATTAGTCAGGGTTATCTAGAAAGACAGAACTAATATAAAGGGGAATTTATTAAGCAGTACTGCCTGACACAATCATGAGGTGAAGTCCCACAATACACCATCTACAAGCTAAAGAGCAAGGAAGCCAGTCCGAGTCTGAAAACCTCAAAATTAGGGAAGCCGACAGTGCAGTCTTCAGTCTGTCATGGAAGGCCTGAGAGCCCCTGGTAAACCACTGGTGTAAGTCCAAGAGTCCAAAAGCTGAAGAACTTGGAGTCTGATGTTTGAGGGCAGGAAGCATCCAGTATGCGAGAAAGATAAAGGCTGGAAGAATCAGCAAGTCTGTTCTTTCTATCTTCTTCTGCCTGCTTTATTCTAGCTGCACTGGCAACTAATTAGATGATGCCCAACCAGATTGAAAGTGGGTCAGTCTCTCTCAGTCCACTGACTCAAATGTTAATGTTTTTTGGCAACACCCTCACAGATACACCTAGGAACAATAATTTGCATCCTTCAATCCAATCAAGTTGACACTCAGTATTAAACATCACACACTATATACAAAAATCAACTCAAGATGAATTAAAGACCTAAATGTAAAACCCAAAATGGTAAAAATATTGGGAAGACAACTGAGGCAAAACCATTCTGGATATAGGAAAGGGTAAAGATTTCATGACTAAGACCCCAAAAGCAATTGCAACAAAAACAAAAATTGACAAATGGGACCTAATTAAATTAAAGAGCTTCTGCACAGCAAAAGAAACTATCAACAGAGTAAACAGACAACATACAGAATGGGAGAAAGTGTTTGCAAACTGTGCATCTGACAAAGTTCTAATTTCCAGCATCTACAAATAACTTAAATAAATTTATAAGAAAAAACCCAAACAACCTCATTAAAAGGTGGGCTAGGGACAGGAACAGACACTTTTCAAAAGAAAATATACATGTGGCTAACAAGCATATGAAAAAAAGCTCAACATCACTAAGCATTAGAAAAATGAAAATCAAAACCATGATGAGATACCATCTCACACCAGTCAGAATGGCTATTAAAAAGTCAAAAATTAACAGATGCTGGCAAGGTTGTGGAGAAAACAGGAAAGCTTATACACTGTTTGGTGGGAGTGAAAATTAGTTCAACCATAGTGAAAAGCAGTGTGCTGATTCCTCAAAGACATAAAAACAGAACTACCATTCAACCCTTCAATATCATTGCTGTATATATATCCAAAGAAATATAAATCATCGTATCATAAAGATACCTGCATGCATATGTTCATTGCAGCACTATTTAGAATAGCAAAGACATGGAGTCAGCCTAAATACCCATCAATGGTAGGCTCGATAAAGAAAATGTGGTATATATACACCGTATGTATATGTATAATACAAAAGAATTAAATCACGTTCTTTGCAGGAGCATGGATGGAGCTGGAGGCCATTATCCTTAACAAACTAACACATGAACAGAAAACCAAATACCACACTTTCTCACTTATAACTGAAAGTTAAATGATGAGAACACATGGACATATAGGGGGGAACAACAGACACTGGGGCCTACCAGAGGGTGTGCGGTGGGAGGAGAGAGAGGGTCAGGCAAAATAACTTAGGGATACTAGGCTTAATACTTGGGTGATGAAATAATCTCTACAACAAACCCCTGTGACATAAGTTTACCTATATAACGAACCTGCACATGTACTCCTGAACTTAAAAAAAAAAAGAGAGAAAAGGATGGCTGGCAAGATAGCCAAATAGGAACATCTCTGGTTGGCAGCTCCCAGCGAGATCAATGCAGAAGGTGGGTGATTTCTGCATTTCCAACTGAGGTACCCAGCTCATCTCACTGGGACTGGTTAGAGAGTGATTGCAGCCCACGGAGGGCAAGCTGAAGCAGGATGGGGCATTGCCTCACCCTGGAAGTGCAAGGGGTTGGGAACTCCCTCCCCTAGCCAAGGGAAACTGTGCGGGATTGTGCCTTGAGGAATGGTGCATTCTGGCACACATACTATGCTTTTCCCATGGTCTTCACAACCCACAGACCAGGAAAGTCCCTCAGGTGCCTACACCACCAGGGCCCTGGATTTCAAGCACAAAGCTGGGTGGCCATTTGAGAAGACACCAAGCTAGCTGCAGGAGTTTATTTTCATACCCCAGTAGTGCCTGGAACTTCAGTGAAACAGAACCACTCACTCCCCTGGAAAGGGGATGCTGAAGCCAGGAGCCAAGTGGTCTAGCTCAAGGAATCTCACCCCCATGGAGCCCAGCAAGCTAAGATCCACTGACTTGAAGTTCTCACTGCCAACACAGCAATCTGAAGTCCACCTGGGATGCTCTAGCTTTGTGGGGGAGGGGTATCTGCCATTACTGAGGGTTGAGTAGGTGGTTTTCCCCTCACAGTATAAATAAAGCCACCCAGAAGATCAAATTGGGTGGAGCCCGTTGCAGCTAAGCAAAGCAACTGGAGCCAGACTTTCCCTCCAGATTCCCCCTCTCTGGTCAGGGCATGTCTGAAAGAAAGGCAGCAGCCGCAGTCAGGGGCTTACAGATAAAACTCCCATCTCTCTGGGACAGAGCACCTTGGGCAAGGGGCAACTGTGAGCACAACTTCAGCAGACTTAAATGTTCCTGCCTACTGTCTCTGAAAAGAGCCTCCAATCTCCCAGCACAGCACTCAAGCTCTGCTATGGGACAGATTGCCTTCTCAAGTGTGTCCCTGACCCCCATGCCTCCTGATGGGGAGACACCTCCCAGCAGGGGTTGACACGCACCACATACAGGAGAGCTCCAGCTGGCATCTGGCAGGTGCCCCTCTGGGATGAAGCTTCCAGAGGAAGGAACAGGCAGCAATCTTTGCTGTTCTGCAGCCTCCACTGGTGATGCCCAGGCAAACAGGGTCTGGAGTGGACATCCAGCAAACTCCAGCAGACCTGCAGGAGAGGGGCCTGACAAAAGGAAAACTAACAAACATAGAGAAATAGCATCAACATCAACAAAAGGACATCCACAGAAAAACCCCATACGAAGGTCACCAACATCAAAGACCATAGATAGAAAAATCCATGAAGATGAGGAAAAACCAGTGCAAAAAGGCTGAATATTCTAAAAACTAGAATGCCTCTTCTGTTCCAAAGGATCACAAGTCCTCGCCAGCAAGGGAGCAAAACTGGATGGAGAATGAGTTTGGCAAATTGCCAGAAGTAGGCTTCAGAAGGTGGGTAATAACAAATTCTTCTGAGCTAAAGAAGCATTTTCTAACCCAATGCAAGGAAGCTAAGAACCTTGAAAAAAGGTTAGAGGAATTGCTAACTAGAATAACCAGTTTAGAGAAGAACATAAATGACCTGATGGAGCTGAAAAACACAGCAAGAGAACTTCATGAAGCATACAGAAGCATCAACAGATGAATTGATCAAGCAGAAGAAAGAATATCAGAGATTGAAGATCAACTAAATGAAATAAAGCATGAAGACAAGATTAGAGAAAAAAGAATGAAAAGGAACAAAGCCTCCAAAAAATATGGGACTATGTGAGAAGACCAAACCTACGTTTTATTAGTGTACCTCAAAGTGACAGGGAGGATGGAACCAAGTTTCAAAACACCTTCAAGATATTATCCAGGAAAACTTCCACAACCTAGCAAAACAGGTCAATATTCAAATTCAGGAAATACAGAGAACACCACAAAGATAGTCCTCAAGAAGAGCAGCCTCAAGACATATAATCGTCAGATTCACCAATGAAGAAGTGGAGGAAAAAATGTTAAGGGCAGCCAGAGAGAAAGGTCGGGTTACCCGCAAAAGGAAGCCCATTAGACTAACAGCAGATATCTCTGCAGAAAACCTATGAGCCAGAAGAAAGTGGCGGCCAATATTCAACATCCTTAAGGAAAAGAATTTTCAACCCAGGATTTCATATCCAGCCAAACTAAACTTCACAAGCAAAGGAGAAATAAAACCCTTTACAGATAAGCAAATGCTGAGACATTTTGTCACCACCAGGCCTGCCTTACAAGAGCTCCTAAAGGACACACTACATATAGAAAGGAAAAACTGTTTAGAGCTGTTGCAAACACATATTAAATTGTAAAGAACATCGACACTATGAAGAAACTGCCTCAACTAAGGAGCAAAACAACTAGCTAGCATCATAATGACAGGATCAGATTCACACATAATAAGATTAACCCTAAACCTTAAATGTAAATGGACTAAATGCCCCAGCTAAAAGACACAGACTGGCAAATTGGATAAAGGGCCAAGACCCATTGGTGTGCTGTATTCAGGAGACCCATCTTAATGCAAAGACACACATAGGCTCAAAATAAAGGGATGGAGGAAGATCTACCAAGCAAATGGAAAGAAGAAAAAAAAGAGTGGTTGCAATCCTAGTCTCAGGTAAAACAGATGTTAAACCAACAAAAATCAAAAAACACAAAGAAAGGTATCACGTAATGGTAAAGGGATCAATGCAACAAGAAGAGCTAACTATCCTAAATATATAGACACCTAATACAGGAGCACCTAGATTCATGAAGCAAGTTCTTAGAGACCTACAAAGAGACTTAGATGCCCACACAATAATAATGGGAGACTTTAACACCCCAATGTCAATATTAGACAGATCAACAAGACTGAAAATTAACAAGGATACTCAAGACTTGAACTCAGCTCTGGACCAAGGGGACCCAATAGAAAACTACAGAACTCTTTATCCCAGATCAACAGAATATACATTCTTCTCAGCACCAGATCACACTTATTCTAAAATTGGCCATATAATTGGAAGTAAAAAAAGTCCTCAGCAAATGCAAAAGAATGGAAATCATAACAGTCTCTCAGACCACAGTGCAATCAAACTAGAACTCAAGATTAAAAAATTCACTCAGAAATGCATGACTACATGGAAACTGAACAACCTGCTCCAGAATGACTACTGGGTAAATAAGGAAATTAAGGCAGAAATAAATAAGTTCTTTGAAACCAATAGGAACATAGACACAATGTACCAGAATCTCTGGGACACAGCATAAGCAATGTTTAGAGGGAAACTTATAGTACTGAATGCCCACAGAAGAAAGCAGGAAAGATCTAAAATCGACACCCTAACATCACGATTAAAAGAACCAGAGAAGCAAGAGCAAACAAATTCAAAAGCTAGCAGAAGACAAGAAGTAACTAAGATCAGAGTAGAACTGAAGGAGATAGAGACATGAAAAACCCTTCAAAAAATCAATGAATCCAGAGGCTGGTTTTCTGAAAAGATTAACAAAATAGACCACTAGCCAGATTAATAAAGAAGAAAGGAGAGAAGATTCAAATAGATACAATAAAAATGATAAGGAGATATCATCATTGATCCCACAGAAATACAAACTACCATCAAAGAATACTATAAACACCTCTACACAAATAAACTAGAAAATCTAGCAGAAATGGATAAATTCCTGGTCACATACACCCTCCCAAGACTAAACAAGGAAGAAGTCAAATCCCTGAATACACCAATAAAAAGTTCTGAAATTGAGGCCATAATTAATAGCCTACCAACCAAAAAAAAAGCCGAAGACCAGATGGATTCAAAGCCAAATCCTACAAGAGGTACAACGAGGAGCTGATACCATTCCTTCTGAAACTATTCCAATCAATAGAAAAAGAGGAACTCCTCCCTAACTCATTTTATGAGGCCAGCATCATCCTGATATCAAAACCTGGCAGAGACACAATAAAAAAGGAAATTTTAGGCCAATATCCCTGATGAACATTGATGCAAAAATCGCCAGTAAAATACAGGCAAAATGAATCCAGCAGCACATCAAAAAGCTTATCCACCACGATCAAGTTGGCTTCATTCCTGGGATGCAAAGCTGATACAACATAAACAAGTTAAACGTAATCTGTCACATAAGCAGAACCAATGACAAAATCACACGATTATCTCAATAGATGCAGAAAAGGCCTTTGATAAAATACAACACATCTTCATGCCAAAACTCTCAATAAATTAGTTATCAGTGGAAAGTATCTCAAAATAGTAACAGCCAATATCATACTGAGTGGACAAAAGCTGGAAGCATTCCCTTTGAAAACCAGCACAAGAAAAGGATGCCCTCCCTAACCACTCCTATTCAACATAATATTGGAAGTTCTGGTGAGGGCAATCAGGCAGGAGGAAAGAAATAAAGTGTATTCAGATAGAAAGAGAGGAAGTCAAATTGTCTCTGTTTGCAGATGACATGATTGTATATTTAGAAAACCCCATTGTCTCAGCCCAAAATCCCTTAAGCTGATAAGCAACTTCAGCAAAGTCTCTGGATGCAAAATCAGTGTGCAAAAATCACAAGCATTCCTATACACCAATAATTACAAACAAACAGAGAGCCAAATCATGAGTGAACTCCCATTCACAATTGCTACAAAGAGAATAAAATACCTAGGAATACAACTTACAAGGGATGTGAAGGAACTCTTGAGGGAGAGCTACAAACCAAGGAAATAAGAGAGGACACAAATGGAGAAACATTCCATGCTCATGGATAGGAAGAATCAATGCCATGAAAATGGCCATATTGCCCAAAGTTATTTAAGGATTCAATGTTCTTCCCATCAAACTACCATTGGCTTTCTTCACAGAATTAGAAAAAAACTACTTTAAATTTAATATGGTACCAAAAAGGAGCCCATATAGCCAAGACAATCCTAAACAAAAAGAACAAAGCTGGAGGCATCACACTCCCTGACTTCAAACTATACTACAAGGCTACAGTAACCAAAACAGCATGGTACTTGTGCCAAGACAGATATAAAGACCAACGGAACAGAACAGAGACCTCAGAAATACTGCCACACATCTGCAACCATCTGATCTTTGAAAAACCTGACAAAAACAAGCAACGGGGAGAGGATTCTCTGTTTAATAAACAGTGTTGGGAAAAGTGGCTAGCCATATGCAGAAAACTGAAACCGGACCCCTTCCTTACACTTTATACAAAAATTAACTCAAGATGGATTAAAGACTTAAACATAAGACCTAAAACCATAAAAACCTTAGAAGAAAATCTAGGCAATACCATTAAGAACATAGGCATGGGCAAAGACTTCATGACTAAAACACCAAAAGCACTAGCAACAATAGCCAAAATAAACAAACAGGATCTAATTAAACTAAAGAGCTTCTGCACGGCAAAAGAAACCATCATAAGAGTGAACAGGCAACCTACAGAATGGGAGAACATTTTGGCAATCTATCCACCTGACAAAGGGCTAATATCCAGAATATACAAGGAACTTAAACAAATTTACAAGAAAAAACAACCCCATCAAAATGTGGGCAAAGCATATGAATAGACACTTCTCAAAAGAAGACATTTATGTGGCCAAAAACCATATGAAAAAAAGCTCATCACTGGTCGTTAGAGAAATGCAAGTCAAAATCACAATGTGTTACCATCTCACACCAGTTGGAATGGCGATCATTAAAAAGTTAGGAAACAACAGATGCTGGAGAGGATGTGGAGAAATAGGAACGCTTTTACACTGTTGGTGGGAATGTAAATTAGTTCAACCATTGTGGAAGACAGTGTGGCGATTCCTCAAGGATTTACAACCAGAAATACAATTTGACCTAGCAATACCATGACTTGGTATATACCCAAAGGATTATAAATCACGCTACTATAAAGACACATGCATATGTATGTTTATCGCAACACTATTCACAAGAGCAAAGACTTGGAACCAACCCAAATGCCCATCAATGAGAGACTGGATAAAGAAAATGTGGCACATATACACTATAGAATACTATGCAGCTATACAAATAATGAGTTCATGTCCTTTGCAGGGACATAGATGAAGCTGGAAACCATCATTCTCAGCAAACTAACACAGGAACAGAAAACCAAACACAGCATGTTCTCACTCATAAGTGGGAGCTGAACAATGAGAACGCATGGACACAGGGAGAGGAACATCACACACCAGGTCTTGTCAGGGGGTAGTAGGGTAGGGGAAGAATAGCATTAGGAGAAGCACCTAATGTAGATGACGGGTTGATGGTTGCAGCAAACCATCATGGCACGTGTACACCTATGTAACAAACCTGCACATTCTGCGCATGTATCCCAGAACTTAAAGTATATATATATATAGAGAGAGAAAACTCATGGCTCATAGAGATGTCTCAAAACTTACCTTGTTTTGACTGAGCAACAATATCCATGTTTTGAAAGAGAATAGACCCCTGAAGTCCTCTTTTTAATCTATAAATGTTTGTTATTGATTTTTGAGTATTCTGCTTATTAGATATAGACAATTTACTTTTAATTATCCAGACATGTTTTGGATTAAGCAATAGAGTAAAACAAACAAATGTACTTTAAACAATAAATTGCAGTCCTGCAACCTGAACTCACATGTAAAACAAAGAATGGATGAAATCCTACTTTAAACTCTAAATGCCTTTGCGTAAGTGTTTTCCTACTTTATATTCATAAGTAAATGTAAACTTTAATATCAATTCCATTGCAGCCCTTTCTGAAAAGATTTCTTTGTATTGTTGACTTCAGGGGTAATTTGTTCTTCAAGCACAGACAAAGTTATATAAGTTACTTAGGAAAATATCTCCATGTTAGATTGTAACCTACTGCTTTTCTTTTCATGGAAGCCATGCAAAGCTATATGTGGTAGGGTAGATTGAGGGAAGCCCAGCCAGTGTCAACCTGTTTCATGAAGAACTAATGATATGCCTGCATCTTTACTGAGGATGCTTTTGTTGCCAAGAAAGAACACAATTGAGGGATGTGGGCACTCAATGTCTGCCTGACAGCAGATGTGAATCTTTTCTAACAGGTACATAGCAACAAAGCTTTAAATAGAATCCAGCAGCTGTTAAATCAAGAACAAGAATATTTACTTCACTTTTTCTATAGTCCCATTATTCTGTAATTCAAACGTCAACTCACCCTATTTTATTTTTAAGCTGTAGCTGATAAGGAGCAAAATTCCTCTACTATCCAAAGGGCTTTGAAGGGTTCTAACCTCATTTCACAGATTAAGTTCAGGCAGTTTACTCAGATTCCTTTTTAGGACTAGAAACTGTTTTTCCCATTTACAGCGAACAGTTTTAAAAACGTGTATTTCAGGGGTAAACAGACATCATCTCTGAACAGAACTAGGTTAGAAGTAAGCTTAGAGATTTGTCTAGATTAAATTTAGATTTGCTTTCAGTTTCAAAATGACCCCATACATTCCATTTCAGGATTACTTTCTTTTTCTGCTGTGAGGTGGATTGGAGGCTGCCTTCCCTAAGATTTTCTTTTCATTTTTTGAGTATGCAAGTGACATTTTCCTGTTCATCCAAAGAATGAAGTAAACCCGATTAGATTTGTTCTCCATCTGGGAGCAGGAAATTAACTTTGAAAATGATTTAAATCTCTTGCCTGGGGAGGGACTTTTACTGCCCTGAGTTCAATAGTTCAATTTGACAGAAGCCTTCACCAGATTTCTAATACATAGTTGTGTTTAAAAAAAGGATGAAAATGAGGCTGCTTTAAATTTCATTAACTGAATTCTTATATCAGACTGAATTTGGAGGCCTGTCAGGCAGAATAAGTTGGCCCAGTAAACATTTTAAGTAGACAGATATTATTATACTAGTTTCAAAGAAGAAAAAAAATACATGCTTTTGTATATTAAGAGAAAATCTTTAGGACTGACAATTATGCATTACAATTTTTTTCTTATTTTGTGACCATAAGAACAGGCAGCATAAGCATGAAACCATGAAAACTGGTTGAACATGTTTAGAGTTTATTTTGGTAATCAAAACAACAAAGCTATTCTGACATACTTCTAATGATATACATAATAGTTGTGCTGAAAGATGACAAAATGTCCACACAAACAACTTTATTTTGAATATTTATTTGCAGATAGATGTCACTTTTAGGATTTTTTTCTCACTTTATTTGCACATATCTATAATTAACATTGATGATGACAATATTCCCAATGACTATGAACATCATGAAAGCAGACATTTGTCACATTCTCTCACGCACGTTTATGTTTATATATACCATAGTCCCTCTAACTGGGGTTTCTTTGCTTGGGATACTTTGTCCAAAGACAATATTGGCAATATTTGCATATTAAGAAAATATTTGTATATTTTTTCCATGAAAACATAGTAAACACTAATTGAACATCTTCTGTGTGCTAATCATGTTAGTATTGGTGTCATGAAATAATTATAAGGACTTGAATTAGACATTTCAAAAGCCTAGGGTTAATACCTTGACAACTAATCTAAAAGACACATGTTGATTGCTCCCATAAGAGAGGTGTATATACTGGGGTATATCTGAAAAGGCTTTCCCAAGAAAGTGATGCATGAACTAGGTCATGAATAATAGAATTGTGAAATATTAGAAAGATCTGTATAAGAAAAATTATATTCCCAATATCATTTTTTTCTTTCATGCATTCCCATCCATACTGTTTTCCCCTCAAACCAAGGAGTTCTTGTTCAGTATCTACTCAGCAGAAAATAGTTACTTTGGCCCAAGTTAGGCTGTTGCAGCAAATGAGTCTCAAATTTCTCTCTCTCTCTCTCTCGCCCTCAGCTTTGTTTCTTGCATCTAATATATGTCCATTGGGGATTGAGTACAGTTCTACTCTATGTCATTTTCTTTCCAAGACTCAGGATTATGGATCATATTCTATCTGGGATATCATCAGATTTATGGCACAGAAAAAAAGAGCAAAGATGGAACCATAAGATGACTTCTAAATCTTCTGCTTGGAAGTAGTACACATCACTTCCCTCTTTTTAATTGGCCAGATCAAGTCATGTTCCCAAACCAAATCTCAATGGACAGGGAATATAATTATCCCACAAGGAGTGGCTTGACAGGCAGGAATCCTAGATATTTCAAATAAATGAGACTATACCCAAAATTAAAACACATTTTATATGACCCAGTATCCCAGCATATATGTGTGTGTGTGTGTGTGTGTGTGTGTGTGTGTGTGTGTATATATATATATATATATATATATATATATATATATATATATATACATGTTAACCAGTGCAGGGAACATAGTAGGTGCACAATAAGTATTTTTTAAATGGATACATGAATGATTATATTAACCAAGAAAATATTATATGATGTACTCTGATGTTTCTAAGATATTGTATCTTTTGTATTATATTCTATTTTATTTTTGTAAAGTGCTAATCATGGCCCACTAAATTGATTTCATGAACCACAATTTAAAAGCATTCATTAACAAATATAAGAATGTGAAAGCAATATTATTTTCAATGCTTGATTCTGTTTTTTTTTATCCTATGAAAACACAGGAAACATTAATTGAACATCTTCTGTGTGCTAGTTTTGTCAGTATTGGTGTCATGAAATAATTATAAGGACTTGAATTAGACATTTAAGAAGTCCAGGGTTAACATCTTCACAACTAATTTAAAAGAAACATATGGTAATAGCTCCCATAAGAGAGATGTATAAACTGGGGTAGATCTGAAAAGGTTTTCCCAAGAAAGTAATGCTTAAACGAGGGCATGATAATGAATAATATGATTCTGAAACACAAGAAAGACTTATATAAGAAAATTATAAGTAGCATGCAAGCTTTTGGTAAGTTTGAAGAAGCATAAATGGTGCAAGAGAAGGGAGATCAGACATATTATTGGGAAAGTTAGGGTTTTACACATCACCAACTAGCTATTCTTCAACTACTAGATATGTCAAGAATTCCTGGTATGTAATTCTATCTTTAAAAAAGCAAGTGAAAACAGAGCAGGAAAGTGGTGGAAATCAGAGTTTTGTTTTATAAACAGGTCAGATTTAAAGGTAACAAATTCCTTATCTCACATAGATATGAGTTTCTTTTGTCTTCTAAGTATATTGGGCTGATTTTTTTCTTTTCTTAATTTCTCAGTTGGGATTTGCACTGTACCAATTATTTGGCCATAAAACAAATCAGCCTCCATTTTCTGATCTATACACATAAATGCATAACATTATATTTCCATGCCATTTTTGAAATATGTTTGGCAACATGTAACAACAACAACAAAATGGTTTAGATTTTTAGTCACATGAGATCTATGGGAACAGGCCAGAACAGATAGAGTGGTACAAACAAGAACGTTTAGGCTGAGATCAATGTGATCCCGTGGCATTTCCCTCATGCTCAAAGATAATCGCTGGGCCTTCAGTTATAACATCAATTTATCAAGAACAAGAGGAGGAGGAGAAAGAAACTAGGAAAATGGGGCAAGCCTATATTAGAAATCCCCAGCCAACTTCCACTTGCAAGTAATTGGCAACAAGACCATATTCATATCACGTGGCCTCTTCAAGCTTCAAAGGAGGCTGGGAAATAAAATTTTTAAACATATTCCTGCTGTGAATAACATTAGAGTTCCCGGTATTATAGGAGGAGAAAACCATAACTGCTACATCTTCTTACCTCGCAGGGTTGTTGAGGGAATCAGAATGAGAGTACTGGTGTAAAATGACTTGAAAAATTTCAAATAATTATGAGCAAGTAAACTATTTTTAAAAAGTAAGAAGTGTACAAAACTTAAGCTAAGCTAATTAGCCATTTCTGCCATAAAATATTTGAAAATTCCAACAGCAATACAAAAATACACACACATGCACTCAATCGTTCATACACATAGCTGCTGTATTAACGTGTATAGTAAAAACATGTAGTCATCTATGTGTATAGGCCTACATATTATTTACAGAAAATTAATATTAGTTTATAATTAACTTTAACACACACACACATATAAAATAAAGTAATGGTGAAAATCAAAGACACTATCTTTCCTCTTAATTTTATACTACTGAAGACACAAAATTTTCCATAATATTGTGCTTATTTCAAGATCTCAAATCAGAGTGTTTATTATTTACAAGGCATCTTTATTGTTTCCAAGGAAAACCCTGATACCAATTAATAATGGGGGAGAGAGGAGGCAGATATATATATTCACCACAAAATTCACAGACAATCTGCAAAACTCACAGAGTCAGAAAATTTGAGTGGAGTTTAGGAGATTTGGCCCTGCTGGAAACAGAAAAACAAGATAAAAAGAAGATATGATAACTCTCAGGTACGTAAAAGTATGCTATAGAGCAGTTAAATAGCAATTATTCTATAAGCTGATTAGGATAGAACATGGTATAAAGACCTCAAGGCTATGAAACTCCTAAAATAAACATCAGGGAAACTCTCTAGAACATTGGCTGTGGCAAAGATTTCTTGAGTAATACTCCACAAGCACAGGCAACCAAAGCAAAAATGGACAAATGGGATCACATCATGTTAAAAACCTTCTGCACAGAAAAGGAAACAGTCTACAAAATGGACAGACAACCCAAAGAATGGGAGAAAATATTTGCAAACTATCCATCTGACAAGGGACTAATAAAGTATATAATGATCTCAAAAAAACTCTACAGGAAAAAATCTCATAATCTGATTTTTTAAATGAGCAAAAGATCTCAGTAGACATTTATCAGAAGAAGGCATACAAGTGGAAAATAGATATATGTAGAGGTGCTCATCAATGATCATTAGAAAAATGCAATGAAATATCATCTCATCCCAGTTAAAACAGCTTTTATCCGAAAGACAGGCAATGACAAATGCTGACAAGGATGTGGAGAAAAGGGAACCCTCATACACTAATTGACTAAATATTAATTAGTACAACCACTATGGAGTACAGTTTGAAGGCTCCTTAAAAAAACTAAAAACAGAGCTACCATATGATCTTATCCACCAATCCCACTGCTAGATATATACCCCAAAGAAAGGAAATCAGTATATAGAAGAGATATCTACACTCCCATATTTCTTGAGCACTATTCAAATATCCGAGATTTGAAAGTAACCTAATTGTCCATCAGCAGATGAATGGATAGCAAACATGTGGTACATATACACAATGGAGTACTATTCAGCTATAAGAAAGCATGAGATCTTGTCGTTTGCAATACCATGGATGGAGCTGGAGGTCATTTTGTTAAGTGAGATATGCCAGGCACAGAAACACAAACTTTGCATGTTCTCTTATTTGTGGGAGCTAAAAATCGAAACAATTGAACTCATGGAGACAGTGAGGAGAATGATCATTACCAGCAGCTGGGAAGGGTAATGGGGCTGTAGGAGTAAGTGTGGATTGTTTGTAGATACAAAAAAAAGTAGTTGGAAACAATGAATTAGATCTAGTATTTGATAGCCCAATAATGTGACTACAGTCAATAACAATTCAAGTGTACATTTAAAAATAACTAAAAGAATATAATTGTATTCTTTGTGCTGCAAAGTATAAATGCTTGAAGTGATAGATATGCCATTTTCCTGATATGATTATTATGCATTGTATGCCTGTATCAAAATATCTCATGTTCTCCATAAACATATACACCTAAAAATTAAAATAAATAAAAAGTATAAGTTTTAAAAAAGCATTATTCTTACCAAATTAACTAGTAGCTTCAAATTAACTAGTAGCTTCAGCAGATTTCATAATCAGCACCTTAACTAAGAGTCTTATGGAACCGTTAATCTCATAAGTAAAAGTTGAGGGCTTTTTGTATTTTAAAATCATTTTTAAAAATTTTCAAGAGTTTAAAAATAAAATGTTCTTAGCCTCCAAGCTAAAATAGCAAATAGCAAATAAATAATAAAGGGCAAAGCAATCTTTTGTTTAAAATGCTTATTCCTTTCCCAACTAGGTTTAACTGGGGAAAGTGGTAGGGAAGAGAAAATCTTGAAATCATTCATTTACTTCCTGACTCTCAGGTGTGGCTGAATGAAAGATTTCCTGGGCACTACATTAGATAAGAGGCTCAGTAAGGAGTTCTTTACAAAAATTTGAGTTAGAATGATAGACTGGATTAAGAAAATGTGGCACATATACACCATGGAATACTATGCAGCCATAAAAAATGATGAGTTTGTGTCCTTTGTAGGGACATGGATGAAGCTGGAAACCATCATTCTCAGCAAACTATCACAAGGACAAAAAACCAAACACCGCATGTTCTCACTCACAGATGGGAATTGAACAATGAGAACACATGGTCAGAGGAAGGGGAACATCACACACTGGGGCCTGTTGTGAGGTGGAGGGAGTGGCGAGGGATAGCATTAGGAGATATACCTAATGCTAAATGACGAGTTAATGGGTGCAGCACACCAACATGGCACATGTATACATATATAACAAACCTGCACGTTGGGCACATGTACCCTAAAACTTCAAGTATAATAAAAAAAATTTTAAAAAAATTTGAGTAGGAAGCTGCTCCATGACTAGCTCAATGTTTTGTCTGGCTTAAGAAGTGATAATTGGGGCTGGGCATGGTGGTTCATGCCTGTAATCCCAGTACTTTGGGTGGCTGAGGTGGGAGGACCACTTGAGGCCAGGAGTTGGAAACCAGCCTGGGTAACAAAGTGAGACCCCATCTTTATAAAAATAAAAATACAAAAAGAAGTGATAGGCACTAGGCCATCATCCCCAGTTGCTTCTTCCTTTCCCAAGATAGATTTAGTCTTCTTAATTTAAGCCTTGTTCTTATTATGTGGATCCTCTGCTTCAACATGTGCTTTTGACATAAAATTTTAGGTCATTGTGAAGGAAGGTGGAGGGGATTATGTTAGCTCATACGTAAAATATTTTTAGCTAATCTCTGTGTGTGTGTGTGTGTGTGTGTGTGTCTTTCTCTGCTTGTATATATTTCTTTCTAATTTTCACACACATACATCAATTCATGCTCAAAAACAGTATATGTAGCATACTGAATATGTTGAGTGAGAAAAGCAAGGTATGTGATAAACTGAGATCCTCTCTGTTATAGACTGAATGTTTGCATCTGTGTCTCCCCCACCCCAAAATTTACTATGTTGAAGCTCTATTTCCAGAGTGAGTGTATTTGGAGTCTCTAAGGAAGTAATTAAGGTTAAGTGAGATCATAAGGGTGGTAGGTCTGATGGGATTAGTGGTTTTATAAGCAGTGACACCAGAGAGCTCTCTCATGAGTGCCTGCACCAAGGAAAAGCCAGGTAAGCACAGAGAAGGCAGCCGTCTTCAACCCAAGGGGAGAGGCCTCACCAGAAAGACGCATCGCTATTCCCTGATTTTGGACTTCCAGTCCCCAGAACTGTGCAAAAGTAAATTTCTGTTGTTTAAGCCATACAGCTCCTCATATTTTGTAGTAGCAGCCCAAGCTGACTAATACAGTCTCTCTAAATATTTCTTCTTTTGACAAACACGTAAAGATATATGACATTAAACCAAAAATCTTTATCTAGTATTTCTCTCCTTTAATCTGAGGAAGTTGCCAATGACAAGTTTTCTGACAAAATTTTAAGTATATCAATATTAAGATATCTATTACATTTCAAATTATATATTAATAAGTAGGATGTACATATTTGATCAAATATTAAGTATATTATAAAATATTTATGAAATAGAATGTAAAAAATAACAGAAAATTTTAAGAAAAACAAAACTTTATATAACCACAGGTTATTGTGCTAGGCCAATTTGTGTTCATGCATTAGGCTCACCTGAGATTATGTCCAGTAAATCCTCACATAATGTCATTGATAGGTTCTTGGAAACTGTGACTTCAAGCAAAATAACATAATGAAACCAATTTTACCATAGGCTAATTTAAACAAGAGTTAAGTTTCTATGGCATATTTCTAGTCACAAAAATAGCATCTTCAATTTCTAAAGACACCAAGCAATTCTAATATTAAACATTGAAATAAATTTGAGCTATACACACATTTAAGAAAGGTTAATAAAAAACAAGTAAGATAATTATTTATCCCATGTTTGGTGAATCAGTGAGTATCAGTGGTCACAGCGGTGGTGGGGTAAATCAAAGAATAAATATTCTCAAAGCAAAAATTATGAGGAGCACCTCCTACCACCACACAGTTCAAATACCAGCACTCACAAATAGGGTAGTGTCACTGACTGCTTTTGTACCACATCGTTTATTATCATGCATTTGTATGATTATTATATACTTTACAAATTTCTGTTTTACAATAATTTGTATTCATTCATTCATCCATTTTCCAACCAGATTATTCCAGTTCAGAGTCAAGGGTGACTGGACCCTATTCAGGCAACTCAGGGTGCAAGGTTGAGACCACCTCTGGACAGGATGCGATTCCATTGCAGGACATACATCCACACCCACACTCACTCAGATTAGGGCAATTTAGATAGGCCAATGAACCTAACGTTCACATCTTTGGGATGTGGGAGGAAACCAGAGTACCCAGAGAAAATCTACACAGATATAGAGAGAATGTGCAAACTCCACACAGACAGTGGCTCCGACAACTCTCAATATTATAATGAGAAAGCAATGTTGAATCAAACAACGTTGAGGACCAGCTGTATTTGTATTTTTGCCTCTTCTTGGAGGATAGGTTTGAGAAAATTGCCAATACATTCACCCTTACATTCTTTTAAGTGTGCATGCAGACTTAACTTAAAATTTGCTATTTATTAAACTTTCTATAATTTATTCCATAGTGTAACCTCATTATCTTCCTTCAATATTTTTGCTGTTTTCATAAAGGCAGGTTGAAAACAAACATTTCCATACTTCTTAAAGATATGTAACTAAATTTGATGGACCCAGCTAACAAATTTAATCACTTTATATACTAGTACCCAGGATAAGTAGACTCCTTAATGAAAGATACTCCTGTTACTGTGTGGCTGACCAAGTCATGTTTATTTTTGGCTTTGTGCTTTGGTAGAGCAGTGACTCTTAATCCCTGGTTTGCATCACTTCGAGAGTTTGAAAAAATACAAACACATGAAAACAATGCTGGACCAATTAAGCCAGTGTCTCTAGGAGAGGATGCCAGTACTCTAGGTTCTTAAAATCTTCTCAAATAATTCTGAAGTGCAGTCAGGGTGAGATCGGCTGCCTTAGAGGGACTTGTTTAAACTCCTATAAATTTGTTAATACATTTTATATGCATTCTTCTTCCCCAAAAAGTCCAATTTCTCTGTCAAGCTCTTGAACCATATGATAGTAAATTATGTTGGCCTTTATAGACAAGGGCTTGGAATAATTCACAGAAATCAAAGGTACAGCATTTTAACACTTTACTAATTTAGTAACACATAAAAGTAATCTCCAAATCAACAGGGAAGAAAAAATATGCACCAACTCTGACTGATCATTCCACAGAGCAAAGAATTTACACATCAATATTTTCAAGGAGACAAAAATCTAATAGGAACTGAAATGATGAATCTAATACTTCAAAAGAGAATAGAAAATCTGTTTTAAAGAAAATGGATTCTGAAAATACATAGAAATATTTCAGTATTTGGAAAGAGACTTCAACTAACTATGGAAAAATAACATTGAAGACAAACTAAGGAACAAGCCAAAACATGAGATATTTTGTCTAATCATAACACATTTTATGAGGGCTATATATATAGCAACAATTTTCCAATAATAAGGCAGGAAGCTGAAATCATTAGAGCTCAAATTACCCTAAACCAGTGCTCAGAAACATGGTTTCCATAAGAATCACCTGGGGATCTTGTTAAAATGCAGATTTGATTAAGTCTAGGATGAGGCCTGAGAGTCTGCATTTCTACCAAGATCTCAAGGGATGTAGAAGTTGCTGTCCAAGAACTACAATTTAAGCACTAGCAAGGCAAACTATTAATCTTTAAAGTCCTTGCAGATAACATTATCCAGAAGATAGTCAAATTTAAAATGTAAAGTGCATAATATGAACCTGCACTTCAAAAGCAAATAATATTTGATTCATTTTACAGCTTTGTCTCTATAACACACTGAGGGTCCAAATGGGTGACTACTAGATAGAGATTGAAAAACAGAAAACAGACGGACTCTAATTTTTGATTAGTGATATCAATACCATCACCACAGATAAGTTCTGGTTGAAAATAGGAAAAAGTGGAGTTATCTTTTCTCAAAAAACACAAATCATTGGCCATTAATATCAACCTAGACCAGGGTATGTTGGAGTTGGCCACTACCACTCAGGAGAGTAGGCTGCGTGCATCTCTTTCCAACTCCAACACCATAAATAGTTACGTCAGTTTGGTAGCTTAAAGATCTCAGCAAACACTTGGAATGGGGTCTTAAAAAAAAGTCCCCCAGAGTGGGTTTGCCAACATAGCATGGCATGTAGCTTCTGGTCTAACACATGATTCTGAAAGAAAAGAAATGTAAACATAACGTGAAATACGGTGAATAATGCAATGACCTTAGGATTGTCAAGATTAGAAGACAATAGGGAGATTAAGGAGGGCATCTTCTTGTCTAAACAATGAAAATAGATATTGGAAAAACCATAAAGTATGAGATATAAGAAAAAAATACAAAAATAACAAATGGATCAATCTAAATTGCATTAAACAGTGGTATAATGTTAAACAATGTGTTTTAGTTGTCTGTGGTACTGTTTCAAACACATTTGGTCTCAGGACTCCTTCACAGTCTTAAAATTTTTGAATAACTCAAAGAACATTTATTTATATGATTATTTCAATTGTTTATCATATTCAAAATGAAAAGAGACAAATTTTAAACTTGTTTGTGTATTAAGTTGCTTATGAATAACAGCAATAAGCCCATTGCATGTTAATATACTACTTCTGAGGAATAATTATATTTTCCAAGACAAATAAAATGTAATGAGAAGAGTTAGCTCTAATAACAGTAGGATCCTCCTGTTTGGTTCTGCCTGCCTTCTATTGCTATATGTTTTGGTGGAAGTATATGAAGAAAATCAGGCCATACAGAAATAACTACTAGTTGGAAGAGAGAAAAGCATTAACTTTTTCAGACGATTGTGAATATTTTTCTTGATTTTACACCAAAACTTGATAAGTAACCTTTTCAGATGATTATGAATATATTTTCTGATTCTACACAAAAATTGGGATAGTTTTAGTTTCAACCTAGCAACTAATCTTTAATAAACCATATCAATGAACTTTTTGTATTGTTACATTAAAATCTATTAGGTTATATTCTAGGTTAAATGATTCTTTTTGGTCATTTGGAAAAATTGTTTCACTGAGTTATGCAGAGCTTCCAAAGATTGACATGTTTTATGATGCACTATACAAAAACCATTCTTTTTTAATGTAAAAAGACATGAATATTTATTTAATCCCTCTATGCACAGAGTTTCTAAGTTTAAATTTCTTTTGAATTTTTATTTTAGGGTCAGCGGTACATAGGTAGGTTTGTTATATGGGTAAATTGCATGTCATTGGGGTTTGGTGTACAGATTATTTTGTCACCCAGGTAACAAGCATAGTACTCGATAGGTAGTTTTTCAATCCTCGCCCTCCTCCCACCCTCCACCGTCAGGTCCCAGTGTCTGTTTTTCCCTTCTTTGATTCTATGTGTACTCAATGTTCAGTTCCCACTTAGTAGTGAGAACGTGTGGTATTTGGTTTTCTGTTCCTGTGTTCACTTAGGATACTATCGTCCAGTTCTGTCTATGTTGCTGCAAAGGGCATGATCTCATTTTTTATGCTGCATAGTATTCCATGGTGCATATGTACCACATTTGCTTTATCCAGTCTACAATTTATGGACATTTAGACTGATTCCATATCTTTGTTATTGTGATAGTGCTGCAAGGAACAATATGAGTGCATGTGTCTTTATGGTAGAATGATTTATTTTGCTGAGGTTGGGGGATGGTGGCTTACATACTTAAAATGGGATTGCTGGGTCAAATGGTAATTCTGTTTTATGTTCTTTCAGAAATTGCCACACTGGTTTCCATAATGGCTCAACTAATTTACATTCCCAAGAGCAGCATATAAGTATTCCCTTTTCTATACAACCCCTCCAGCACATATTTTTTTTTTACTTCTTAATAACAGCCTTTCTGACTGGTTGAGATGGTATCTTTTTTTTTTTTTTTTTCTGTTTTTGAGATGGAGTTTTGCTCTGTCACTCAGGCTGGAGTGTAGTGCATGATCTCGGCTCACTGCAGCCTCCACCTCCTGGGTTCAAGTGATTCTCCTCCTCATCTTCCCAAGTAGCTGGGACTACAAGGCACATGCCACCACGCCTGGCCAATTTTTGTATTTTTTGGTGGAGATGGGGTTTTACTATGTTTCCCAGGCTGGTCTGGAACTTCTGGCCTCGAGTGATATGCCTATTGCGGCTCCCCAGGTTGCTGGGATTACAGGCGTGAGTCACCATGCCCATCCAAGTTGGTATCTCATTGTGGTTTTGATTTGTATTTCTTTAATGGTTAGTGATAAGCACTTTTTTCATATGCTTGTTGGCCACATGTATGTCTTCTTTTGAAAAGCGTCTGTTGTCCTCTGACCTTTTTTCAATGGGGTTGATTGTTTTTTGCTTGTGAATTTGTTCAAGTTTCTTATAAGTTTTGGTTATTAGACCTTTGTCAGATGTATAGTCTGCAAATATTTTTTCCCATTTTGTAGGTTGTCTGTTACTCTGTTGATAATTTCTTCTGCTGTACAGAAGCTCTTTAGTTTAATTAGGTCCCATTTGCCAATTTTTGCTTTTGTTGCAATTGCTTTTGGCATCATTGTCATGAAATCTTTTTCCATTCCTATTTCCAGAATGGTATTTCCTAGGTTATCTTCCATGGTTTTTTAGTTTATTATTTTACATTTAAATCTGTAATCCATCTTGAGTTGATTTTTCATATGGTATAAGGGTGGGGTCCAGTTTCAATCTTCTGCATATGGCTAGCCAGTTACCCAGCACCATTTATAGAATAGGGAATCCTTTCCCCATTGCTTGTTTTTGTCAGCTTTGTTGAAGACCAGATGGTTGTAGGTGTGCAGCATTATTTCTGGACTCTCTATTCTGTCCCACTAGTCTATGTGTTTGCTTTTGTGGCATACCATGCTGCTTGGGTTACTGTAGCCTTGTAATATAGTTTGAAATTGGGTAACATGATGCCTTCTGCTCTGCTCTTTTTGCTTAGGATTGCCTTGGTTACTCAGGCCTTTTTTTTGGTTCCATGTGAATTTTAAATTAGTTTTTTCCTAATTCTATAAAGAATGTCATTATATATCCCATGTGAATGGGATTGCATTTTTGATTTGGCTCCCAACTTGGATGCTGTTGTTGCATGGGAATGCTACTAATTTTTGTACATGGATTTTGTATCCCAAAACTTTACTGAAGTTGTTTATCAGCTCAAGGAGCTTTGGGCATTTCTATATTATATAGAAATAGCATTGAATTTATAAATTGCCTTTGGTAAATGGCCATTTTAACAATATTGATTCCTCCTGTACATGAGCATGGCATATTTTTCTATTTGTTTGTGTCATCCCTGATTTCTTTGAGTAGTGTTTTGTAATTCTAATTGTAGAGATCTTTCAATTCCCTGGATAACTGTATTCCTTGGTGTTATTCTTTTTATGGTTATTGTGAATGGGATTGCATTTTTGATTTGGCTGCCAACTTGGATGCTGTTGGTGCATGGGAATGCTACTGATTTTTGTACATTGATTTTGTATACTAAAACTTTGCTGAAGTTATTTATCAGCTCAAGGAGCTTTTGGGTGGAGACTATGGGATTTTCTAGGTATAGAATCGTATTGTCTGAAAACAGGGATAGTTTGACTTCCTCTCTTACTACTTGGATGTGTTTTATTTCTTTCTCTTGCCAGGTTTTCCAGTACTATGTTGACTAGGAGTGGTGAAAATGGGCATCTTGTCTTTTTCTGATTTGCAAGGAGAATGCTTTCAACTGCTCCCCATTCAGTATAATGTTGGCTGTGCATTTGTTATATATATGTCTTATTATTTTGAGGCAGATTCCTCCAATGCCTAGTTTTTTGAGGATTTTTAACATAAAGGGATGTTGAATTTTATCAAAAGCCTTTTCTGCATGTAACAAAATAATCATGTGGTTTTTGTTTTCAATTCTGTTTATGTAATGAATCACATTTGTTCATTTGCATGTGTTGAAACAACCTTGCATCCCAGATATAAAGCCTACTTGGTCATGGTGGATTAGCTTTTTGATGTGCTGCTCAATTTGGTTTGCTAATATTTTACTGAAGATTTTTGCATCTATGTTCATCAAGGGTACTGGCCTGACCTGTTATTGTTGTTGTTATTGTGTCTCTGCCAGGGTTTTGGTATCAGGATGATGGTGGCCTCATAGAATGACTTAGGGAGGACTCCCTCTCCTCAATGTTTGGAATAGCTTCCATAGGAATAATACTTGCTCTTCTTTATACAAGTGGTTGAATTCAACTGTGAGTTCATCTGGTTCTGGGCTTTTTTGGATAGTAGGCTTTTTATTACTGATTCAAATTCAAATTTTGAACTTATGATTTGTTCAGGGATTCAATTTATTCCTGGTTTACTCTTGGGAGGTTGTATGTGTCCAGGAATCTATCCATTTATCCTACATTTTTTCATTTGTGTGTATAGAGGTATTTGTAGTAGTCTCTGAGAGTTTTTTTGTTGTTATGGGGTAAGTGGTAACATCCCGTTTGTCATTTCTGATTGACTTTATTCTTATCTGCCCTCTTTTTTCATTATTAGTCTAGCAAGTAGTCTGTCTATCCTATTTATTTCTTCAGAAAACCAACAACTCCTGGATTCATTCATCATTTGCATGAGTTTTATGTCTCATTTTTCCTTCAGTTCTGCTTTGATTTTGGTTATTTCTTGTCTTCAACTAGCTTTGGGGTTGGTTTGCTCTTGTTTCTCTAGTTCTTCTATTTGTGATGTTAGGTTGCTGCTTTGAAATTTTTCCAACTTTTTTATGTTGATGTTTAGTGCTATAAATTTCCCTCTTGTCACCTTAGCTGTGTCCCAGATTCTGGTATGTTATATCTTTGTTCTCATTAGTTTCAAAGAATTTCTTGATTTCTGCCTTGATTTCATTATTTACCAAAAAGTTATTCTGGGTCAAGTTGTTTAATTTCTGTGTAATTATAGGTTTCCAGGGACTTTCTTAGTACTGATTCCTATTTTTATTGCACTGTGATCCAAGAGTGTGGTTAGTATGATTTCAAGTTTTTAAGTGTTTGTTTGGAGATTGTTTTATTTCCAATTGTCTGGTCACTTTTAGAGTGTGTGCCATGTGCTGATGCAAAGAATGTATATTCTCTTGTCTGTGGGTGGAATGTTTTGTAGATGTCTCTTAGGTCTATTTTGTCAAGCATTGAGTTCATGTCTTGTATATTTATGTTAGCTTTCTGCCTCAATGATCGTCTTATATTGCTATTGGGGTGTTAAAGTCTTCCAATATTATTGCATAGTTATCTAAATCTCTTCATAGGTCACTAGAACTTGCTTTATGAATCTGGGTGCTCCTGTGTTCAGTACATATAATTTAGGATAGTTAGGTCTTCTTGTTGAATTGAGCCCTTAACCATTAAGTAATGCACTTCCTTGTTTCATTTTTTTAAAATCTTTGTTGGTTTAAAGTCTGTTTTATCTGAAATTAGAAGAGCAACCCCTGTTTTTTTTTCGGTTTCTCATTTGCTTGGTAAATTTTTCCCCATTCCTTTATTTTGAGTCTTTTGGTGTCACCACATGTGAGATGGGTCTCTTGAAGACAACAAACCATTTAGTCTTGCTCCTTTATCTAACTTGTCAATCTACACCTTTCAATTTTAAGGGATATTTAGCCCATTTACATTCAAGGTTAGTATTGACATGTGCAAATTTCTTCCTGTTATCATTTTGTTAGTGGGTTATTATGCAGATATTTTTGTGTGGTTTCTTTATATTGTCATTGACCTATGTACTTGTGTGTTTTTGTCGTGGCTTGTAACTGTCTTTCCTTTCCATGTTTAGCCCTCCCTTCAGGACCTCTTGTAAGGCAAATCTCGTGACAGCAAAATCCGATAGCATTTACTTGCCTGAAAAACATTTTATTTCTTCTTCACTTATGAAGCTTACTTTGGCTGGATACAAAATTCTTGGTCAGAAATTCTTCTCTTTAAGAATGCTGGATGTAGGCTCCTAACCCCTTCTGGCTTATAGGATTTCTGCTGTAAGGCCCACTGTTAGCCTGATGGGGTTCCCTTTGTAGGTGACCTGCCCCTTCTCTCTAGCTGCTTTTAACATTTTTTATTTCATTTTCACCTTGGAGAATCTGATGACTATGTGTCCTGGAGGTGGTCTTCTTGTTTCACAGGGGTTTTTTTTGCACTTCCTGAATTTGAATGTTGGCCTATTTAGTAAGGTTGGGGAAATTTTCATGAATAATAACCTGAAATATGTTTTCCAAGTTGTTTTCTTTCTCTTCCTGTCTTTCAGGAATGCCAATGAGTCATAAATTGGGTCTCTTTAAATAATCCTATATTATTCAGAAGTTTTGTTCATTCAACTTTATTATTTTTTTTCTTTATTTGATCTTCACTGTGTTATTTCAGAAAACAGGTTTGGAGCTCTGAGATGCTTTCCTCAGCTTGGTCAATTCTGCTGTTAATACTTGCAACCGTATTCTGAAATTCTTGAAGTAAGTTTTTCATCTTTGTCAGTTCAGTTTGTTTTTTTCTGAAAATGACCATTTCATCTTTCATCTTCTGTATCATTTATTGTATTCTTTAGAATCCATGGATTGGATTTCAACTTTCTCTTAATTGTTGATGATCTTCATTCCTTTCTATCTTCTGAATTCTATTTCTGTCATTTTAGCTATTTCAGCCTGATTAAGAAAAATTGTTGGGGAACTTGTGTGGTCATTTAGAGGTAAGGAGACACTCTTGCCTTTTGAGTTGCCAGAGTTCTTGCACTGATTCTTTTACATCTGTATAGGCTGATGCTCCTTCAACTCTCGAAGTTGCTGTCCTTTGGACATTTGTTTGTTTCGCTTGCTTGTATCTTCTTTGATGCCCTTAGGGGTTTGATTGTCGCATAAGGTGGGTTCAGTTGACTGGCTTCACTTCTGGTAGATTGTTTTTTGGAGGGCAAGGCTCAGATCAACACTCCTGGGCTATATGCTTTAACTTGGGGGCCTGTTATCTGGCCCCCAGCTTTCTTCTCTGGCCCACTGAGGTTGGGAACCTGCTGTGCTGGAGAGGCCAAGGTTTTCCTGGATCACTCGCCACAACACTCTAAAGGACAGTGTTAGCCAAAGCAATTCATTGGGCAGTGGCAGTGGGGTTCATGCTCGTTTGCACATGCCAGCTGCAGTGGCAGCATTACAGGATGAGTTCTTGTCACCTGGGGCCACTGGTGGGCCTAGGGCTGCCTGCATCCATGTGGGCATTGGCAGTGGCAGCAACCAAGGTGCAGGATGGAGGAGGGAGACAGAGCTACTGGGGTCCATGCGCATTCACTCCTGCAGTGGTGGCAGTGCAGGGGCATGGTGCTGGCCACCTTTGTGTGTGCATTAACACCAGCGATGATAGCAGCATCGGGCAGGGGGCAGAGCTACTGGTGGCCATGCGTGCATTCACACTGGTGGCAATGGCAGTGCAGGGGTGGCGGCGGGGGTGCCAATGTCCATGCTAGAAAAATCACATTTTTTTAATCACTCTGGATCTCACCAAAAAATCAATAAGAATGGGAAAGAAGTCAAGCTTATGGTGACAAATACAAGTTTTTCACAATTCTAATTTTTACTCCAAAATTCAAATACATTCATTGGCAAAGACATTCTAAGTTGTCTTCTTTGAAGTGATAGGCTCACTTCATTCTTCTTGAGAAAATGCCTACCAAATACCCAAGTCTCAAAAACCATAGTTTGTCAGTTTTTCTTTCAGGAAAATATGGAGTTTAGCCAAAAAAGAACCTAATTCAGCTTACAGCATGGTGTTTTTCTTTCAGGAAAATATGGAGTTTAACCAAAAAAGAACCTAATTCAGCTTACAGCACAGTGTTTTTCTTCAAGATGTTCTGGGAACTTTGGTGTCTGGTACAAGTGCTTTAAGCCTTCCTCACCTCCATTTTCTCATACAGAATATTCAAAAGGCATGTACTAAAGGGTCAATATTTAATAAAATTAATAATAGTTACTGATTTATCAAGGACATCCGTAAGTGAAATTGAGATTTTTTTTTTTTTTTTTTTTTTTTTTTTTTGCTTTACTGAGAGTGCATAGTGGTGAAAAATTCAATGACTACCAATAAAGTTTGTTGCCAACAGCTTTATTTATGCTGAGGTGTTAACAGTTTTATTCATTATAGTTTTGCACCATCAGTGCAAGTTCCAACACAATAAAAAAGGCAAACAATATTGTCATATTATGGTAAAAATACTTTTGCCCTCATGTACCACCTGAAATAGTCTTGGGACCCCAGAGATCTGCAGCTGCAGTTAGAAGTCCACTGCTTCACACTAGTGCACCAGCACAGGATTTTGTTTTAGAATAGGAGCATAATAATATTGCATTATATATGCTTATACTTTTTTATAGTATTTTGTAGTTTAGTAATGCTCTTCACAGATATTATCTTACATTAATCACAGTATAATAGCATAAAGTTCCCATCCAATTTTTCTAGTAAATAAAAACAATAATGAAGAAAGCGAAATAAAGTGTCCAGAAATACAGATAGAATATATATAGAGAGTGTCTCTCCTGCCATGTCAGACAGAAGGCTGTAAAACAGCAATAATATTTTCCCTGAATATCTCCATTGTGAATGGTAGGACACTTCTGGAAGCTTTCATTGCCTTTCCTTTCTGTTATTTAGTAAAACACTCCTTGCTAGTATTTTGTTGAAAATTTTTGTGTCAATGTTCATCAAGATTATTGGCCTGTAGTTTTCTTTTTTTGATGTGTCTTTGTCTGGTTTTGATATCAGGATAATAGTAGTAGCCTCATAGAGTGAGTTTGGAAGTATTCTCTTCTCTATTTTTCTTAATAGTGTAAGCAGGATTGATATTAGTTGTTCTTTAACAACAACTGAATTTGGTAAAATTCAGCAGTGAAGCTATTGGGTCCTGGGCTTTCCTTTGCAGAGAGACTTTTTATTACAACTTTGATCTCTTTACTTGTCATTGGTCTGTTGAGGTTTTGCATATCCTCATGGTTCAAACTTGGTAGGTTACATGTGTCTCGGAATTTTTCCATTTCTTCTAGATTTTCCAGTTTATTGTCATACAGTTGCTCCAAGTAATCTCTAATGATCCTTTGACGCTGTATCAGTTGTAATGTCTCCTTTCTAATTTCTGATCTTATATGTTTGGGTCTTTTCTCTTTCTTAGTCTGGCTAAAGAGTTATCAAATTTTTAATCTTTTTTTTAAACAACTTTTTGTTTCATTGACCTTTTGTGTTGTTTCCTTTATTTCAATTTCATTTATTTATGCACTGATCTTTATTATTTATTTTCTTCTTCTGTTTTTGGGTGTGATTTGTTCTTGCTTTTCTAGGTGTTTAAGATGAATCATTATGTTGTTTATTTGAAGTTTTCTTACTTTTTTGATGTAGGTGCTTATAGCCATAAACTTCCTTGGCTGGGTGCAGTGGCTCACACCTGTTATTCCAACACTTTGGGAAGCTGAGGTAGGTGTGTTGCTTGAGCCCAGGAGCTTGATACCAGCCTGAGCAACATGGCAAAACCCTGTCTCTAAAAACTACAAAAAATTTAGCTGTACATGGTGGTGCATGCCTATCGTTCCAGCCACTTGGGAGATTGAGATAGGAGGATAGCTTGAGCCCAGGATGTTGAGGCTGCAGTGAGCCACGATTATACCATTGCAGTCCAGCCTAGGTGACAGCAAGAACCTGTCTCAACAAACAAACAAAAATCTGTTTTTGCTATATCTCATAGGTTTTAGTATGTTGTGTTTCTATTATTATTTATTTCAAGAAATTTTTCAAGTTTCTCCTTAATTTCTTCCTTGACCAACTGGTTATTCAGGAGTATATTTTTAATTTCCATTTGTTTGTATAGTTTCCAAAATTTCTGTTATTGCTGATTTCTCGTATTATTTTATTTTGGTCAGAGAAGTTACTTGACAGAATTTCATTATTTTTGAATTGTTTAAGGCTTGGTTTTGGGGCCTAACATATGGTCTATCATTGACAATGAGTCATATGCTGAGGAAAGGAATATGTGTTCTGCAGCCATTGGTTGAAACGTTTTGTAAATATCTATTAGGTCCATTTGGTCTTAGTGTAGATTAAGTGTGGTGTTTTTGTTGACTTCCTGTCTGGTGGATCTGTCCAGTGCTGAAAGTGTGATGCTGAAGTCTCCAGTTCTTTTTATGATGGGGTCTCTCTCTCTCTCTCACTAGCTCTAATATTTGTTTTATATATGTGGGTGCTGCAGTGTTGGATGCATATATATTTACAAGCATTATATCCATTTGCTGAATTGATTTTTTATCATTATATAGTGAACTATTTTGTCTTTTCCTAAAGTTTTTGTCTTGAAATCTATTTTGCCTGATATAAGTATAGAAACTCCTGCTCTTTCTGGGTTTCCATGTCATGGAATATTTTTTCCATCCTTTTCTTACCAGTGTATGCATATTTTTATATGTGAATTGTGTTTCTTGTAGGCAACAGATTATTGGGTTTGGGTTTTTTTTTTTCTATTCAGCCAGTCTATGTCTTTTAATTGGAGAGTTCAGTCTATTTAGAGTCAATGTTATTACTAATAAGGTAGGACCTACACCTACAATTTTGTCATTTGTTTTCTGGTTATTTTGTGGTCTTCTCTTCTTTCTGGTCTTCATTTTAAAGAAGGTAATTTTCTCTGATGGTATGTTTTAATTTCTTGCTTGTTACTTCTTGTGTATTCATTGGATGTTTTTTCATTTGAAGTAACCATGAAGCTTGCAAATAATATTTTATAACCCACTATTTTAAACTCATGACAACATAACACTGATTGCATAAACAAAGAAACAAGCAAATAGACAACTTATAAAAACTCTACACTTTAACTCCAACTTTTTAAACTTTTTGTTGTTTCTCTTCATATCTGATTGCACTACGTCTTGAAAAGTTGTTGTAGTTATTTTTTTGATTGGTTCATCTTTTAGTCTTTCTGCATAACATATGAGCAGTTTACATACCACAATTTCAATGTTATAACATTCTTTGTTTTTCTGTGTTTACAGTTAACAGTGAATTTTGTATTTTCAGATGATTTCTTATTGCTCATTAACATCCCTTTTTTCAGACTGAATAACTCCATTTAGCATTTCTTGTAGGACATGTGTGGTATTAATAAAATCCCTCAGCTTTTGCTTGGGCAAATCTTTATTTCTCCTTCATGTTTGAAGTATATTTTGATTAAATAGGCTATTTTAGGGTAAGGTTTTTCCTTCAGCATATTAAATATGTCATGCCACTCTTTCACAGCCTGAAAATTCCCACTGAAAAGTTTGCTGTTAGACATATTGGAGCTCCATTATATGTTATTTGTTTTTTTACTCTTGTTAAAAAATCAACGATCCTTTCTTTAACTTTGACCTTTAGAAGATTAATAATTAAAGGCCTTGAAATAGTCTTCTTTGGGTGTAGTCTGATTGGTGTCCAATCAACTTCCTTGTACTGGAATACTGATAACTTCTTCTAGGTTTGGGAAGTTCTGCTGTTATCCTTTTGAATAAACTTCCTACCCCTATCTCCCTACCTTCTCCTTAAGTCCAACAACTCTTAGGTTTACTCCTTTGAGGCTATTTTCTATATCTTGTAGGCATGCTTCATTCTTTTTCATTTTTTTAACTTTCATTTCCTCTGACTGTGTTATTTTCAAATATCCTGTTCTTAAGCTCACTAATTATTTCTTCTTTTTAATTCATTCTGCTGTTAAAGGACTCTGATGCATTCTTCAGTATTCCAATTGCATTTTTCAGATCAAGAAATTCTGCTTGATTCTTTTTAGTGTTTTCAATCTCTTTGCTACATTTCTCTGATAGAATTCGGAATTCCTTCTCTATGGTATCTCGAATTTCATTAAGTTTTCTTAACATAGCTATTTTGAATTCTCTTTCTGAAAGGTCACTTATCTCTGTCTGTCTTGGATTGTCTCTCATGCTTTATTAAGTTCATTTGCTGAGAACATGTTTTCCTGGATGGTGTTGATGCTAGTACATGTTCTTCAGTGTCTGGGTATTGAAGAGTTAGGTACCTATTTTAGTCTTTGCAATCTGAGCTTGTTTGTACCCCTCCTTCTTAGGAAAGCTTTTCAGGTATTCACAGGTACTTGGGTGCTGTGATCTAAGTTTTTGGGCACTGCATTCTTATCTGTATTAGGTAGGCACCCCAAACCCAGTACCGACGTGTCTCTTGCAGACTCAAAGAAGTCTCACCATGGCAGCCTTTAATAAGATCTAGAAGAATTCTCTGGATTACCAATTAGAGACTTGTCTTCTCTTCCCTTACTTTCTTTCAAATAAATGGAGACTCTCTCTCTCTCTCTCCTTCTCTGTTTCTGTCTCTCACTCTGTCTCTCTCCTGAGCTGCCTGAAACTTAGGGAGGAATGCCACAAGCACCCCTGTGGCTACCATCACTGTGACTCCACTGAGTCAGACCTGAAGCTATTACAGTACTGAATCTTACCCAAAGCCCACTGTATCTACTACCTGGCTACTGCCTGTGTTCTCTTAAAGCCCTATGGCTTAAAAATCAGTAGGTCCTTCTACGAAGGGCAGTGAGTTTTCCTGGGCCACAGGCAAGTTCAGAGATGCTGTCTGGGAGCCAGGACCTATAGTAAGAAACCTTAGGTACCTACTTGGTGTTCTATTCTACTGCAGCTTAGCTGGTACCCAAACCACAAGATGAATTTCTTCCCACTCTTTCCTTCCCTTTCCACAGGGAGAGGAGCTTCTCCCCATGGTCACCCCCACAACAGACACATGAGAGTATTGCCATGGTATCACTGATGTTCACTTAAGGCCAAAAGACTCTTCGGTCAGCTTGTGGTGAATGCTGCCAGACTTGGTACTTACCCCTCAGGGCAGTGGGCTCCTCTCTGGCCCAGGATAGGTCCAGAAAGACAGAATAGTAGTTTTGAGTCAGTCTACCAATCCACAATTTTGCCTACCACATATTTGGTCTTCATTTTATGCAAATCTATATCTCTTCCCTCCCCACTCCCAACAGCCTACTCTCTAGCCACTTAGATACCAAGATATTTGCTAGTCACTTCTTTTGCCAAAACAATACTTCCAGTTATTTCTTGGCTGCTTCACATATGTCTTCACAGATAAAATCACTATAAACCAAAAAAATGGCCAAATGACCATGTTTAACCAACTCTAGGAAAATTTTCACACTGTTTACCTCATAATGACATAAAATTCTGACAACATAATTTGACATCATATATTCAGTTAATTTTTCTTGCATATATGTAGGGCAAAAATATCATAAAAATTCAAAACTTTTCTCAAATCATCTAGGAAAATCGACAGTCTGTGAAGATGTGATGTTTATCCTAACTTCATGCAAGATCAGAGACTACTCTAGCCTGAGAGGCAAAATCAGGGAGGGAACTCAATGTTATCTAATTTGGACTTTGGTAAGTTATGCAACCAAGAGTTTCCAAGGGAATATCTCTGTTATGATCCTTTAGGGATCTTCTCACAGGGTGGTCCTCAAGTGTTGGCTGGTTTCATGTATATGCTTCTAGTATAAAGACTAATACATATTAAAAATAAGAGGGTGAATTCTCCCTGTTGAAAAGAAGGGAAGAGGTTTTCCTTTCCCCCTTTTTCTTAGAGTTTTTACTCTTTAAAACTTTGTAAGTACTTTATTCTCTCTTTGAAATGTATATAAATCCTTTAGGAAACCAGATAGGCCTTTTGTCAGTACTATGGCCTAGAAATGTCTTTCTTAGGGACCTCAGAGTCAATTATTTGAAATGCAAACATCAAGGAAGATAGAACCCCCATCTTCCAATCACTGTGGGAGAGCAGAAACCTAACTTTGAGGGTACCTTGGTCCAAAACACGAAACTATCTCCTGTAATGAAAGTATGTGAAGTTTGTTTTTCCTCTGGATAAAGCCACATAGCTAACACAGATGGTTACTCCAATTATGTGTTAAAGTTTTTATAAATTATTTTTGACAAATGCTGTCAAGTCCTCTTACATGAGGATGAGTTGTTATCTATTTTAAAAACATGTATATAATGCGTTATATCTGTTTGGCTATTTCAAAGGGAAAGATTTCCTTCTGTTTTTGCATTTTAGTGGATTACCTGTGCAGAACATACTGGCTTAATGCTTATTCAATAATAAGAGTGCTTCCTATCACCACCTTTGTCAAGAAGATTTCCAAGTTAGGAGAAGATATTGTTTTTAATTATATTTCCCTAACACTGGTTCCCCAGCTATCTTTCTCCTCTACCAGTTTCTTCAAGACTTTCTGGTATCAACACTAATAAGTATTTAGTGTTTTCAGGTTTGGTCCGAAATTGCTCAAAATCAAGTCTTAAAAATATCACGTTCTCAACTACATTTTATTGCTTTTGTCATGTCAATTTCCCTGCTACTAGTATGCAAATATGAGGTCCTTGGGAAGTTCTGCTTTCAGTAAGAATGTATTTGGAAAGACCATCTATGAAATCACATCTTATCTATACTCCTGAGTTAGAAGGTTTTAAACCTCCTTAATTTTAGGTATAAAAAGAATACCTTCTGACGTTCTCTAATTATTGCCTTACAGAGATTTCTGTTTTAAGAGGTAAACATTAATTCCTAATCTTGGGTTGAATTTTAACTGATTGCTGACCTTTACTCTACTAATGGTAATATTGATAGGAACAATTTAGCTTATTAATGAATAGAAACAAGGTACAGGCATTACAAATAAGAGTCACAGTCGATGGAATATGGATTTATAGGAATCAAGGGCAATTTTAGTCACAGCCCTTTTTACCTCCTGAAAGGCATCCTTTTTATCAGTCCTGTAGTTGCACTTTTTATACAAAATGTGTAGTCATTAAGATATATTCTAAAGATATTATTGTTGAGATCTAGTCATAGAAAGTACATTATACAGCGACGTTAGAGCCTGAGAGAGGATAAGATAGTTAAACAAAAAAGCTCACTGCAGTGTGTGAAAAAGTGTTTTGAAGGTCATTTGCACTTAAATAAAGTTTGCTTCTCCATTATACAAGTTAAAGTTTTAAAACATGCAGCAATAGAGGAATGAGAGTCCGCTTATGACCTTGGACAGTTTATTAGTGCCAGTAGTCCATCTTAGTTTTCATGTAATACTCATCATATTCTGGTCAAGAAGAAGGATTTTGTGTATCTCTGTGATTACTGCCACAAGATCGTCAGTTTGGAGAAAACAAGTAGTTGTCTCTGTTAAATGCCTCAGCCATGCAGAAAACAAATTTTTCTCAAAATCTTAAAAAGCACTAATCAGCTACTTCTTCTCTCTAGCTTTAACAAGCATGGCAATTCATTTAAGTTCAATTTAATGGGCATTTTATTAAGCATCTACCACATGCTTTCATGAAGTGTTCTGAATACTATAAAGGTAGTAGAAGGTAATGTTTCTGTCCTTCAGAAACCTTAATATTCAAACAGAATTAGAACAAACTGGGCAGAAATCCAGAAATAATTTTTCAACTTTTCTTGTTTTTTAAAATAATGATTTATGTTAGCTCCTCCAGGTGGGGCCAGCTTTACATGGCCCACATTTACATAATAGCTTCCCTTTTGCTTCTTTTGTTGTCGTAAGTCATTGTTTGTCTATAGCATTTTATGGTTCTCTGGTGAGTACCTCCCTCCTTTATATAAAATGAAGGTGATCTGGTATCTTCCAAAGCATAAATGTAAAGTTGAGGATAGTATCAATATCCGAGAGAATGAAAAAACAGAACTACAAGACAGAAGCAAGAAATATCCACTCCTGCCTCTGTTGCTCATTTATTAAGGACAGGGAGGCTGTGGAGCTGGAGATAGGGCATTATTGTGTAAAATGTTTCAGTATTGAATAGTGGCTCTCAGTTGGCCCTGACATTTTCCCTTTCTAGGTCAGGCTTGTCTCTCATAAATATTATGTAGACAAAAAAAGGTCCCATTCTTAATGGCCAAAGCAATCCTCAGCAAAAAGAACAAAGATGGAAATATCATATTACCTGACTTCAAATTATACTACAGAGTTTAGTAACCAAAATAGTATGGTGCTGGCATTAAAATAGACATACAGACCAATGAGACAGAATAAAGAAATAAATTTACACATTTACAGTCAAACCCAGAAATAAATTCACAGATATACAATAAATTCATTTTCAACAAAGGTGCCAAGAACACACATTAAGGGAAGGGACAGTCTTTTCAACAAATGGTGCTAGGAAAACTGGATATCCAAATTCAGAAGAATGAAACTAGACCCCTATGTCTCACCGTATACAAATATAAAATAAAATGGATTAAAGACTTAAATGTAAGACCTGAAACCATGAAACTATGAGAAGAAAACATTGGGGAAATGCTTAGGACATTGATGTGGCAAATGATTTCTTGAGTAAGACAGCAAAAGCACAGGCAATCAAAGCAAAAATGGACAAATGGGATTACATCAAGCTATAAAGCTTCTGCACAACAAAGAAAACAATCAACAAACTGGAAAGACAACCTACAAAATGACAGAAAATATTTAGAAGTATTCAACTGACAAGGGATAAAAACCAGGATATAAAAGCAACTCAAACAACTCAATAGCAAAAAAACAAATAATTTAATTTGTAAATGGGCAAAAGGTCTAAATAGATGCTTTTCAAAAGAAGACATACAAATAGCCAACAGGAATATGCAAAAATGCTCAACATCACTAATAATCAGAGAAATGCAAATCAATCCACAATGAGATATTATTTTACCCCAGTTAAGATGCCCTTTATCAAAAAATAATGAATGTTGGTGAGGATGTAAAGAAAGGAGAATGCTTGTACCCTGTTGGTGGGAATGTAAATGTGGGAGACTATTGTATAAAATGTTTATACACATTTTTATAACACAGGGAAAACAGTATGAAGATTCAAAGAAAACAGTATGAAATTTCCTCAGAAAACTAAAAATAGAACTACTTTGTGATTCAGAAATCTCACTGCTGGGTATATATCCAAAAGCAAGGAAATCAGTATATTGAAGAGATATCTACACTCTCATGTTTATTGCAGCACTATACACAATAGCTAAAATATTTGAAATAAATCTGTGTCCATCAACAGATGTATGGGTAAAGAAAATGTGGTGTGTGTGTGTGTGTGTGTGTGTGTGTGCATGTGTGTGTATGCAATGGAATATTATGCAGCCATACAAAAAAAATCCAGTCATTCACAATGCCATGGATGGAACTGAAGGATGTTTCATTGTAAAATAAGCCAGACATAGAAAGACAAATATCTCATGTTCTCACTAACATGTGGGAGCTAAAAAACTTGATCTCATGGAGGTGAGAATAGAATGATGGTTACCAGAGGCTGAGAAGTGCAGTGGGGAGGCGAGGATAAAGAGAGGTTGGCTAATGTGTACAAAAATTACAGTTAGATAGTAGGAGTGAGAACTAGTGTTCTGTAGCACAATAGGAATGATTATAGTTAACAATAATGCATAATGTATTTTAAAATAACTGAAGGAATGCATTTGGAATGTTCCCAACACAAACAAATGATTAATGTTTAAAGTATTAGATATCCCAATTACCCTGATTTGATCATTACACATTCTTTCTTGTATCAAAATATCACATGTACCCCATAAACATTTATAATTATTATGTAATCATGATGTAATCACCACACATAATGAATACCTTCCCAAGGTTAGTTTGACCTACGCCCAGGAATGAAAAAGGAGAGCTTAAAGGTTAGAAGCAAGATAGAATATGTTAGGTCTGATCTCTTTCACTGTCATAATTTCCTCAGTTTTAAATTTTGCAAAGGTGGTTTCCATAACTTTAAAAAACGTTCGCTCTTTTTTTGAGCCAATCAAACTATGTTTTCAATAATTTATTCAGGGATCTAAGGGCCACAGATCCAAGGGAAGTAAATGGGTGCTGACACTCACTTCTTAGAGTATGCATCAAAGATGTCCTAAACTAAGAGTAATGGCAATGTAAAAGAAAAATTACATCAAACCAGCTCAAACCAAAACAGTCAAGAAAGACTTTCTTTAAGACTAATGCAATAGGGAAGAAAGACTGAACCCAACTCTACTGAAACAAAAGTCAGCAAGATTTTTAAATGCTGGAATGAGCTAATGGGACATTACTAGAGGACTTCAGGGAGAAGGCTGGGGAATGTGATTTGGCCATCTGTGTTTGCTAGTTATCTCTTATTGAAATTAGCTCCTACTCTACCATACAGACTGAGAGACAAGGATGCTATCTGTTTCAATGATTACATTTCAAAAGGATGGATCCCATGTTCTTGAGAAAGATATTTCTGGGTTGTGGAAGATTTATATCTCAAAGGGGGAAAAAAAAGAATTTACAGCTGCAAGTTTTCTAAAGTAAATGTCCTAAGAAAAGGGAGGCCAAGGGCCTATATTCAAGAAGGTCCTAGATCTAAAGTTTAGTCAAGGTGAGGGGGAACATTAAGGCTGTCTTGGTCACAAAGATAAATGTAAAATACATCTTAGACTGTTTAGGTGGTTGAAGCAGTATTGCTTCAGCCTATTCGTTTGAGACCAGCCTCAGCAACAAGGCAAGACCCTGTCTCTACAAAAAAAGTAAAAATAAAAAATTAGCCAGGCATGGTGGTGTGCACCTGTGGTCTTAGCTACTCTGGAGGCTGAGGCAGAAGGATCACTTGAGCCTGGGAGTTTGCGCCTGCAATGAGAGGTGTTCGTGCCACTGCACACTAGCTTGGGCAACAAACAGAGACCTTGTCTTAAAACAAAACAAACAAACAAAAAAAAGGATTTTTTTCTTTCTCTCCCTCCTTTCCCCTTTCTTCTTCTTCCTCTCTCCCTCCTTCTCTTCCCTGCTCTTCCCTGACACAATACTCTCTCTTTCCCTTTCTCTTTTTCTACCTCTTTCTTTCTTCATCTTTTCTTTTTTAATCTATGAAACCAAGCCTTAGTACATCCAATACATTAATATAGTAGCCTTTTTGGATGTGAGGGTGATCTAGCTGTGATCGCCAGGGATGATTCAGAATTCAAATTTTTTTATCTATTCAGAATTTTTTTCCATGTTTTCTTCCATCATTTTGTAGTTTCATGTCTTAAATATAAGTCTTTAATTCATCTTGAGTTAATTTTTGTATATATAGAGAGATACAGGTCCAATGTCATTCTTCTGCATGTGGCTATCCAATTTTTCCAAGCACTATTTATTGAATAAAGTGTCCTCTCTTCAGTGTATATTTTTGTTGATTTTATCAAATATCAGTTGGCTGTATATTTGTGGCTTTATTTCTGGGTTCTCTAATCTGTTCCATTGATTTATGTGTCTGTTTTTATGCCAGTACTTTGTTGTTTTGGGTACTATAGCCTTGGATGATAATTTGAAGACAAGTAAAGTGATGCCTTCCACTTCATTCTTTTTGTTTAAGATTTCTTTGGCTGCTCAGGCTCTCTTTAAGTTCCATATGAATTTTAGGATGTTTTTTTCTAACTATGAATAATGACACTGGTGAGAGGGTGTGTTAAGACAGCAGATAAGAGACAGGGCTAATATGCAGCTCTGACTTGGATGAACAGAACAGCATGTGGAGACTCACAGTATGAACTTTTGTCCAAGAACCACAGTAGGAACATACCAAGAAAACAGAAAAAAATCACAGATCCTTTGAATGTTACTGCAAATTCTACAAGGCAGGTGAAAAACTGTGACTTCCCAAAATGTGAGAGTGGGAAACCTGACTTTGAACATACATCTCACTGGAGAATCTGAAAATCCACATCACAGGAGAAGGATTTGTACCTTACCTAGATCTTACATGGATTTAGGGAGCTGTGTGAAATATAAAAGTAGAAGCAGCAGTGGAAAGTGCCTTACAGGCACTCCCAGTCTCCAGCTCAAGCCCAGGGAAGCCATCCCTGACTATCTCTCACAGGGGCCCTCAGGGAAGGCAGCAAGGGTAACTAGAAAGGGGGTCAGAGGGCAAAAGAATCTTCCAACTGAAATTAGTAACAATTTTGACTGAGCATGAATTTTCTTGAGCAGAATCTGGGGAGAAAATGGGAACTACTGCAGATATAAGCATAGGAGTTGCTGCTGACAGAGTGGGCATATGGGGAAGTGTGAGGTCCAAAAGCCATGCTTGCTTTCTTGGAAGGGAAGCTCATGGCATGGGGCAGGGTCTGATTGGGGCACTGTGGGAGTGAGACTAGCCTCAACAACTGCATGGGAGCTGGGTGAGGCCTCTCGCTACTGGCTATCCCTCACTTCCCTGGCACAGCAAAGGCAGCCAAAATCCCCTCTGGAACATAACTCCATGGGTCTGAGAACCACCCTCCCGTTCCCCACAGTGGCAACAATAAGCCCTGCCCAAGGAAAGTCTGAGCCCAGACCCTCCTAATCTTGACCCCAGCTGATGGTGTTTTTCTACCCACCCTTGTAGCCAAACACAAAAGATAGACTCTCTTAGGGGCTTTATGGCCCTGCCCATCACCTGAGAAGCTAAAATACTTACACTGGAAAAATTAGAGCAAGCTTAGATCCCCCTATTTCTGCTGCAGCTGGTGCTCTCTTTAAAATGCCACCTCCTGGCTGGAGGCCAGTCAACTCAGGCCATTATAGCAACTCATGACAGACTAACCCTGATCCCAGAAAAGAGAAATCAACAGCTAATTCCACTGCCTGCAACATCCTGGCTAATCAGAGGTCCATGCGACAACTTCACAGCTAGCATAACCAGCATTCAAGGAAGCCAGCACACTAAACATATCTACAACCAAAGACTTCCACAGAGTCCATGGCACTCTCCTAGCACCTCCACCAGAGCAGGTGCTGGTATCTACAGCTAGAAGACCTGAAGACAGATCTCATTACAGAACTCTTCACAGACATTCTGCAGCATCAGCCCAGAGCCTGGTAGCCTGGCTGGGTGGCTAGATTCAAAAGAACAATAACAATCATTGTAGTCTGGCTCCTGGGAAGTCCCATCCCTAGGGGAAAGACGAGAACACCATGCCAAGGAATTACCCCATGAGACAAAAGAATATGAACAGCAGGCCTTGAGTTCCAGACCTTTCCACTGAAATAGTCTACCCAAATGATAAGGAACTAGAAAAGTAATTCTGGTATTATGACAAAACAGGGTTTTATAGCACACCCAACAGATCACACTAGATCTTCAGCAATGGTTCCAAACCAAGAAGAAATCTCTGTAGTTCTAGATAAAGAATTCAGAAAGTTGATTAATAAGGTACTCAAGGAGATCCCAGAGAAAGGTGAAATCCAACTTAATGAAATTTAAAAATCAATACAGGATATGGATGAAAATTCTCCAGAGAAATAGAAAAGAAAAACAATCACAACTTCCAGAAATGAAAGACACATTCAGTGAAATACAAATTACAGTGCAAAGTTTTAGCAATAGACTAGAACAAGTAGAAGAAAGAAATTCAGAGCTCAAAGACAAGGTTTTTAAATTAAGCCAGTCAGACAAAAACAAAGAAGAAAGAATTTTAAAAAACAAAGCCTCCAAGAAATTTTGGATTATGTTAAATGGCCAAACCTAAGAATAACTGTTGTTCCTGAAAAAGAAGAGAAATCTTAAAGTTTGAAAAACTTATTTGAGGGAATGATTGAGGAAAACTTCTTTGACCTTGTAAGAAATCTAGACATCATCTAAATACAAGAAGCTCAAAGAACACCTGGCAAATTCATCGGAAAAAAATCATCACCCAGGCACATAGTCATCAAGTTATCTAAAGTCAAGATGAAGGAAATAATTTAAGAGCTGTGAGACAAAAGTATCAGATAACCTATAGAGGAAAACCTATCAGATAAACAGCAGATTTCTCTGCAGAAACTTTACAGCTCAGAAGGGATTGGGGTCCCATCTTTAGCTTCCTAAAACAAAATAATTGTCCGCCAAGACTTTTGTATCCAGAAAAACTAAGCTTCATAAACAAAGGAGAGATAAAGCCTTTTTCAGACAAACAAATGCTGAAGAGTTCACCACTACCAAAAGCATACAAGAACTGGTAACAGGAGTTCTATATCTTGATACAAAACCTTAAAATACACCAAAATAGAATCTTCTTAAAGCATATGTCTCACAGGGCCTATAAAATAATAACACAATGAAAAAAAAACAAGGTATTAAGGCAACAACTAGCATGATGAACACAACAGTACCTCACATCTCAATACAAACATTGAATATAAATGGCCTAAATGAGCCACTTAAAAGATACAGAATGGCAGAATAGATAAAAATCCATCAACCAAGTACCTGCTGTCTCCAAGAGACTCGCCTAATATATAATGACTCACATAAACTTATGGTAAAGGGGTGGAAAAAGATATTCCATGCAAATGGAAACCTAAAGCATGCAGAAGTAGCTATTCTTATATCACACAAAACAGACTTTACAGCAACAACTGTAAAAAAGACAAAAAGGGACATTATATAATGATAAAAGGTTTAGTTCAACAGGAAAAGATCACAATCTAAATATATATGCACCTAATACTGGAGGTCTCAGATTAATAAAACAATTACTACTAGACCTAATAAATGAAATAAATGGCAATGCAATAATAACAAGGGACTTTGATATTCCACTGACAGCAATAGTTCATCTAGACAGAAAGTCAATAAACAATGGACTGAAACTATACCCTAGAAAAAAATGGACTTAACAGACGTTTACAGAACACTTGACCCTACAACTGCAAAATACACATTCTTTTCTTCAGTACAGGGAACATTCTCCAAGATACACCATATAATAGGTCACAAGACAAGTCTCAATAAATTTAAGAAAATTGAAATTATATCAAGTATCCTCTCAGACCACAGTGGAATAAAACTGGAAATTAACCCCAAAAGGAACTCTCAAAATATACAAACACATGCAAAACCTCTGGGAGACAGCATACATTGTACAAAAGCAGTACTAAGAAGAAAGTTAATAATATTACATTCTTACATCAAAAAGCTGAAAGAGTGTAAATAGATAGTGTAAGGTCACATCTCAAGGAATTAGAGAAACAAAAAGAAACCAAACCCAAATCAGCAGAAGAAAAAATTTAACAAAGATAAATTCAGAACTAAATGACATTGAAACAACAAAAAATACAAAAGATAAATGAAATAAAAAGCTGGTTCTTTGAGAAGATATACCAAATTGATAGATCATCAGAAATATTAACCAAACAAAGAAGAGAGAAGATCCAAATAAGCTCAGTTAGAAATGAAATGGGAGATATTAAAACTGATATCACAGAAATACAAACGGATTGTCCAAGGCTACTACAAACACCTTTATGAGCACAAACTAGAAAATCTAGAAGATGCAGATAAATTCCTGGAAATATCCAACTCTCCTAGATTAAATAAGGAAGAAATAAAAAAATCTGAACAAACATATAACAAGTAGCGAGATTGAATCAGTAATAAAAACAATTGCCAACAAATAAAAGTTCAGGACCAGATGGATGCACAGCTAAATTCAATGAGACATTCAAAGAAGAATCAGTACCAATCTTACTGAAATTATTTCAAAAGATAAAGAGGGAATCTCCCCTGAATAATTCTATAGAGCCAGTATCACCCAAATACAAAACCAGGAAAAGACATAACAAACAAACAAAAAAAACTACATATCAATATCCCTGATGAATACAGATGCAAAAATCCTCACAAAAATACTAGCTAACCAAATCCAAAAGCATATCAAAAAGATAATACATCAAGATCAAGTGAGTTTCATAACAGGGATGCAGCGATGGTTTAACATATGCAAGTCAATAAATGTGATAGACCACATAAACAGAATTAAAAGTAAAAGTCATGATCATTTTAATAGATACAGAAAAAGCATTTGATAAAATCCAGTATACCTTTATGATTAAAGCCCTCAGCAAAATTGGCACAGAAGGGACATACCTCAAGGTAATAAAAGCCATCTATGAAAAACCCACAGCCAACATTACATTAAACAGGGAAAACTTGAAAGCATTCCCCTTGAAAACTGGAACAAGACAAGGATGCCCACTTTCACCACTTCTATTCAACATAGTACTGGAAGTCCTAGCCAGAGTAATCAGACAAAACAAAGAAATAAAGGGCATTCAAATTGGTAAAGACAAAGTCAAACTGTCGCTGTTTGCTATTTATATGATTGTGTACCTAGAAAACCCTAAAGACTCAGCCAAAAAGCTCCTAGATCTGATAAATAAATTCAGTAAAGTTTCAGGATACAAAATCAATGTACACAAGTCAGTAGCACTGCTGTACACCAACAATGATGAAGCTGAGAAACAAATCAAGAACTCAATCCCTTTTACAACAGCTGCAAAAAAATAAAATACTTAGGAATATACTTAACTAAGGAAGTAAAAGATCTCTACAAGGAAAACTACAAAACACTGCTGAAAGAAAGCATAAATGACACAAACAAATGGAAACACATTCCATGCTCATGGATGGGTAGAATCAATATTATGAAAATGACCATACTGCCAAAAGCAATACACAGATTCACTGCAATACCATCAAAGTATGCCCATCATCATTCTTCACAGAACTAGAAAAAAAAGAAACAACTTAAAATTGATATGGAACCATAAAAGAGCCAAGCTGGGCATGGTGGCTCACACCTGTAATCCCAACACTTTTGGAGGCCAAGGCAGGCGGATCACCTGAGTTCAGGAGTTTGAGATCAGCCTAACCAACATGGAGAAACCCTGTCTCTACTAAAAATACAAAATTAGCCTGCTGTGGTGATGCATGCCTGCAATCCCAGCTACTTGGGAAGCTGAGGCAGGAGAATTACTTGAACTCAGGAGGTGGAGGTTGCAGTGAGCTGAGATTGCGCCACTGCACTCCAGCCTGGGCAACAAGAGCGAAACTCTGTCTCAGGAAAAAAAAAAAAAAGTAAAAGTAAAAGAGCCTGCATAGCCAAAGCAAGACTAAGCAAAAAGAACAAACCTGGAAGTATCACATTACTCAACTTCTAACTATACTAACTAGTTTACAAAACAGAACAGTGCTGGTATTAAAAAAGACACATAGACCAATGGAACACAATAGAGAAGCCAGAAATGATGCCAAATACTTACAGCCAACTGATCTTTGACAAAGTAAACAAAAACATAAAGTGGGTAAAGGACACCCTATTCAACAAATGGTGCTGGGATAATTAGCAAGCCATATGTAAAAAAATGAAACTGTATTACTCCTACTGTTAACCCAACACAGGCATGCCCACAAGGAAAGGTTAAAAAAAGTAAAAGGAACTCGGCAAATCTTACCCCGCCTGTTTACCAAAAACATCACCTCTAGCATTACCAGTATTAGAGGCACCGCCTGCCCAGTGACATATGTTTAACGGCCGTGGTACCCTAACCGTGCAAAGGTAGCATGATCACTTGTTCCTTAAATAGGGACTTGTATGAATGGCTCGACGAGGTTTCAGCTGTCTCTTACTTTCAACCACTGCAACTGACCTGCCCGTGAAGAGGCGGACATAATACAACAAGACGAGAAGACCATATGGAGCTTCAATTTACCAATGCAAACAACACCCAATAAGCCCACAGGCTCTAACCTACCAAACCTGCATTAAAAATTTCGGCTGGGGCGACCTCGGAGTATAACCCAACCTCCGAGCAACATATGCTGAGACTTCACCAGTCAAAACGAGTTACCACGTACAATTGATCCAATAATTTGACTAACGGAACAAGTTACCCTAGGGGCGTGGTAGCTCATGCCTGTAATCCCAGTGGTTTGAGAGGCTGAGGCAGGTGGATACCTGAGATCAGGAGTTTGGGACCAGCCTGGCCAACATGGTGGGTGTTGGCCCATCTCTACTAAAAATACAAAAATTAGCTGGGTGTGGTGGCGGGGGCCCGTAATCCCAGCTGCTTTGGAGGCTGAGGCGAGATAATTGCTGGAACTCAGAAATGGAGCTTGCAGTGAGCAGAGATCATGCCATTGCACTCCAGCCTGGGCAACAAGGGCGAAATACCATCTCAAAAAAAGAGAAAAGAATGAAACTGGATCCTCATCTCTCACCCTATACAAATGTCAACTCAAGATGGATGAAAAACTTTAAGATCTGAAACTATAAAAATTCTAAAAGATAACATTGGAAAAACTCCTCTAGACATTGGCTTATGCCAAGAGTTCATGACCAAGAACCCAAAAGCAAATACAACAAAAACAAAAATAAATAGATGGCACCTAATTAAACTAAAAAGCTTCTGCACAGAGAAAGAAATAATCAGCAGAGTAAACAGACAGCCCACAGAGTGGGAGAAAACATTTGCAAACTATGCATCTGATAAAAGACTAATGTCCAGACTCTACAAGGAACTCAAACAAATCAGCAAGAAAAACACAAATAATCCCATCAAAAAGTGGGCAAAGGACATGAATAGACAATTCTCAAAAGAAGATATACAAATAGCCAAGAAACATATGAAAAAATGCTAAACATCTCTAATTATCAGGGAAATGCAAATCAATGAGATACCACCTTACTCCTGCAAGAATAGCCATAATTTAAAAATCAAAAACTAATAGATGTTGGCACGTAAATGGTAAAAAGCAAACACTTTTACACTGCTGGTGAGAATGTACACTAGTACAACCACTATGGAAAACAGTATAGAAATTCCTTAAAGAACTAAAAGTAGAACTACCACTTCATCCAGAAGTCTCACTACTGGGTATCTACCCAGAAGAAAAGAAGTCATTATATGAAAAAGGCCTTGCACACATGTTTACAGCAGTACAATTCACAATTGCAAAAATATGGAACCAGCCTAAATGCCCAGCAACCAATGAGTGGATAAATAAAATGTGGTATATATACACCATAGAATACTACTCAGATATAAAAAGGAACAAAATAATGGCATCTGCAGCAACCTGGATGGAGTTGAAGACCATTATTCTAAATGAAGTAACTCAGGTAAAAAAGACCAAATATCATATGTTCTCACTTATAATTGGGAGCTAAGCTATGAGGACACAAAGGCATAAGAATGATATAATGAACTTTGGCGAATTAGAGGGAAGGGTAGGAGAGGGGTGAGGGATAAAATACTACACATTAGGTACCGTGTACACTGCTCAGGTGATGGGTGCACCAAAATATTGGAAATTACCACTAAAGGCCTTATCCATGTAACCAGAAACCACTTGTTCCCCCAAAACAAAACAAAACAAAAATAAATAAATAAGTGACACTGGTATTTTGATAGGGATTGCATTGAATCTGGAAATTGCCTCGGGCAGTATGATCATTTTAATAATATTGATTCTTCCAATCTATGAGTGTGAAATGTTGGTTCATTTTTTTGGGTTATCTAAAATTTATTTTATCAGTGTTTTGTAGTGTTCCTTGTGTAGATCCTTCACCCCCTTGATTAAGTGTATGCCTAGGTATATATATTTTTTGTAGCTATTGTAAATGGGATTGACTTCCTGATTTGTTTCTCAGCTTGATTGTTATTGGTGCATAGAAATGCTACAGATTTTGTATGCTGAAACTTTACTGAATTCATTAATCAAATCTAGGAGCCTTGTGGAGGAGTCTTTAGGCTTTTCTAAGTATAAGATCATATCATCAGCAGAGAATTAACTTCTTTTTCAATTTGGATGCCTTTTATTTCTTTCTTTTGCCTGACGTAATTAAAAGATGTTTTGTTCACAAATTTATTTAGGCATAATTAACACATTTATTCAAAATTTTGAGCTTTTGAGAAATAGCTTTATTGAGATGTAGCTGACACAAAATAAACTGTACATAAACTATATGCTTCGATAAATTTTAACTCAAGACTATCCCTGTTATACCATTATTTACATCACGATAGGGAACAAAGTCTAAAAATTTCATCATCCTCCTTTGTAATCCCATGAAGTACTTATTTAGCAACCTCCCACAAATTCTAATATGTTTTATTTTTATTTTCATGCAGTTAAAATACTGTCTAATTTCACCTTTGGAGAAACTTAGCTTGACTACTTTGTTTCCTATTTCTCAGGATCACTGTACATTGTTGCCTGATTCTAGTGTTCAGAAAAGTGTTGATTTATAGATCATGTCTAGTTTTTCAGATGGGAGGATAAGTCCAGTCTCTTTTACTGTATTGTGGGTAGAATCTTATGTAATTAAATTTAACAGTCTTTCCTCTTATGATACCTGGTAGTTGTGTTTTATTTAGCAAGGTCTCTAACACTCAGTTTTTGTTTTTTTTGTTTTTTTTTTTTAACCATCAAGTTTTCTTTTAGTACTTTTTGGTTTGTCTTTCTGAAATTTATTTGGAGTAAAATATGAAGTGTAGAGCCAGGATCACTACTCTTCACTTTACAAATGCTGCAGGTTGGTGTACCTAGCCCCAGCTACCCCATTCAAACCACCTTCTTCCACGCCTGTGTAAGGTTGCACAAAGTACTTGAGATCTCAGCCTGAACTGGAGGAGGAAACACAGATTCATAGCAGCAATTTTGTGAACATGAGGGAAAGGCCTACACCGTGTCAGAGACATTCACAATGCTATTTTAGGGTCACTGATCCAATACCAGCAAATTGCACCATCTCCAATCTCAGACTTTTGATATGGAAAAAAGAAAATATTAATATGTTGCTTAGAAGACTTTGAACGTTTATATAGGATGATATGAATATTTTTGGTAAATCATATATTTTAAGGCTTCTTTTCCAAATTATGACTTTTCAGCAAAAATATACCATGTGGATTAACAATAGTAAAATAAGAAATATACTAATAACTGAAATGTTCTTTATACAATATATGTTTTTCATAGAATTAGGAACAGAGTATAGAAATAGTATTCTTACAGTAAAATATTTATTTTTAACATTTTATTGTAACTGTTCTGGGGCAGCTAAAATACTACAGTCATTTTGTTTTTATTATCCTAACATGTCGAACATGAGAGCTGTAAACATTTTAGTTACGGAATGAGAGCATTTTCCTCCCAATTTTTAATTCAATGATGATTTCACAAAAGTTAAACTTGACAGCAAAATTAATATCATCAAACACTATAAGTAAATACTTGAGAACTATTTACTTTTAAAAGTCTCTCTTCATTAATAAAACTTCACTCATTATTTTTCTAATACATAAAGAAATCTCATGTCTTGAAGGTAGAAGACACTGGACTGACTCCCAGAAAAAAGGCTGAATGTTAAACGTCCTCAGCTTGGTTAAAACACTCAGAGCAAGAGAAGGTGGCAGGGCTGAAGGGTTGTGGGATGAATAGTGGGGAGATCAGGTCACTTTAAACAGCAAACACCGCAATTACTTTTGCACCAACCTAATAGCTCATTACTGGCACATTGCATCAACATTTTGTCAGGTGTTTGTGGTATTAGGTGCTTATTTTCACTTAAGAATTCAGAGTGATCTTTCCGCAAAACAGTACAGTAGTCAAAAGTGTGTGTGAGAGAGATTTTAGCAACAATTATGTGTCATGATTGCATTTGGAATTGAAAAGACAGTGTAGCTGTAAAATCCCGGACTTTTATAGAATGAATTTTGCAAGTCTCTAGTTTATTAGGTCAGCTTCTTGTATCTCCACAGCAGTAAAGCTTTCAGTCGGGTAAAATGTTCCAGATATCATTGCCCTCGTATTTTACAGTTCATCTTAAAGTGCTTTTATCTGCCAGTAAAAATTTGCCTTATAAAAACCAAATTGGATTCATCAAATAAGAAGTGGGCCTGCCCCATTGCGTTCGTGTCATAGTCATAGTGATAAGATATTTTTAATGTAATAAAGTTATCTTTTTACAGATTTGTCGGTAGTAAAGCGATTATAGTCGGATGCTTGGACAGTGAAACTATCTTCACCAATTAAATAAAGCAGATTCCAATTTACTGAGGGCAATGAGAAGAGGATTTTCTTTTTCTTTCCTCATTGTCTTCTTTAAAGAAGACAAATGTTAACATTTGGCTAGCACTTTCCTTTCGCCTCTAATATCTTATACTTTCCATGGGATTTACATGTTAGTGGTAATTTCCTCTCTTGGCCCAGGAGGAAGTTTGGTAATAGTTTTATCCCTATTCAAACAAACACAAAGTGTGACAGCTTGTCACAAACTATTAATTGTTTTTAGCCCCTGCAGCAGAAAGAGAGGGAGGTGGGCTCCAGTTTTAAGTTTAAATGCAGAATAAGCACATGCGTAGGCTCAGGATTACCAGTAGTATAGAGAACACATTAGCTATTGATAGAAACCTCCCTCCTTTGCTTTACTGTCCTCAGAACTTCTTTTAGGATCTTTATTCTGTGCCCAGCTCAGTTCTGCTCACAGAACTCTGACCTCGGCTAAACTTCTCTTCGGTAATGAAGAATAAACTATTTGGACTCCGTGTCTGGAAATGCTGGTATCTTCTTCCTATACAAATTATTAATACCATATTACAACTATCAGTAAATATGTGTGGTTGAAATAGAGATACTGGGGAACCAAAGCAAACTCCTTAGAAAGGTTGCCACAGCCTGAAGCTGAAAGACTGACCTCACACTTCTCATTTTGTTTTGTTTTGAGTCTCTATTTACTTTGTTTTCCACATGCTTTAGGTTGATCATTGTTTACTCAGTAATGCAGAAGAGATAGAGTGATAGGAAGAAATTACCATGGCAAATCATGATGGACTGATGACAGCTAGTGACCGAATGTTATTTGAAACAAGCCGCAAAGTTGGCAGGGTAAAAATTTATATAAGAAAATGCAAAATTTGTGTAATTCATCCCTGAGTTATGAGAATTTGGCTTAACCCTGAGAATTTCTCTTGAATAGGGACATTGGGTGATCTTCTATTAATCCCCTAAGCATGACTCCAAAGATTGAAATGTGAAAGGCAGGCTGGGTGTGGTGGCTCATGCCTGTAATCCCAGTACTTTGGGAGGCCGAGGTGGGTGGATCGCCTGAGGTTGGGAGTTTGAGACCACCCTGACCAACATGGAGAAACCCCGTCTCTACTAAAATTAGAAAATTAGCCAGGTGTGGTGGCACATGCCTGTAATCCCAGCTACTTGGGAGGCTGAGGCAGGAGAATCACTTGAACCCGGGAGGTGGAGGTTGTGGTGAGCCCAGATCAAGCCATCGCACTCCAGCCTGGGCAACAAGAGCAAAACTCCATCTCAAAGAAAATGAGAAAGGCTTCTTCTTGATGAATGAAAACAGAGATCTTACAGCCACAAAAGAGAAGATTGATGGGTCAAACTTTTCTTAGCTATGATTGAAGTAAACTTTGACAACTAATCACTTTTTATTTTATTTAAGAATTCCCAGCCACCAGTAAAAGTAAGAGGTGAAGCCAGCTGGGCTTCTGGCATGGGTTGGGACTTGGAGAACTTTTGTGTCTAGCTAAAGGATTATAAATGCACCAATCATTACTCTGTGTCTAGCTAAAGGATTGTAAAGGCAACAATCAGCACTCTGTAAAATGGACCAATCGGCACTCTGTAAAATAGACCAATCAGCAGGATGAGGGCAAGGCCAAATAAGGGAATACAGGCTGCCCTCAGCGGTTACCAACTGGGGTCCCCTTCCATGCTGTGGAAGTTTTGTTCTTTCACTCTTCACAATAAATCTTGCTGCTGCTTACTCTTTGGGTCTGCTGCTCACTCTGGGTCTGCACTACCTTTATGAGCTGTAATACTCAGGGTGAGAGTCTGTGGCTTCATTCCTGAAGTCAGCGAGACCACGAACCCACTGGGACAAACAAACAACTCCAGACACCAGACCATGAACCCACCAGAAGGAAAAAATAACTCTGGACACACCACTGTTAAGAGCTGTAACACTCGCTGTGAAGGTCTGCGGCTTCATTCCTGAAGTCAGCGAGACCAGGGACCGACCGGTCCGGACACATCTGAACATCTGAAGGAACAAACTCTAGATGCACCATCTTTAAGAGCTGTAACACTCACCAAGAGGGTCCATGGCTTCCTTCTTGAAGTCAGCAAGACCAAGAAGCCACCAGCAGGAATTAATTCCAGACACAAAAGTACAAACCTGACTTATAAGGCATATAATAAAAAATATAATACTATGAACTAATTTAGTACAAATAATGAAACATAATATAGAAGGTAAGCACTTTAAATCTACGTTATCAGGTTGGGTCTTAAAAAGAGGGAGAAGGGACATCAAGCATTTAGAAATCAATAGGAATTCCCCTTTTCTACTCATCCCCAATACAAACTCTCTGCTTCACTCAGGCTGTAGAACATGTTCTTTCCAAACCATAGGTAGATTTTGCCATGCAAATGTGCCATGCAAAAGTGCATTGCCATGCAAATGTGCATGGCCATGCACAATGTGCATTGTGTCCTCAAAATTGGATGCTTGTGTTCTTTTTTTCTGTGATTTGGTGGTTTAATTCTTCTGAGAAACCTCAATATCTACTAACAAACTTTTACTTTTGAGTTATTTTATTTAATCTGTGTTTCTGACCACAGAAATTAAAAATGTTAAGCAATATATGGCTAAATATATAAAAAACAGCAAAAATGGCAAAATTAATGTCAAATTTGAATTAAAAGCATAAAGCATCCAGGACAAGTAGTGAAGACATAAAACTTGTGAAATAATGTATATATAATATAGATTATAATATAATATACAATATACAATACACAATATACAACAATATACAATACACAATATACAATATACAATATACAATATAATATATAATATACAATATACATTATATTTAAATATAGTTAAAAATATAAGACAACTATAGTATTATAAGGAAAAATAGAAAGAAATAAATTGACTTCAGAAATCTGAAAACATCACTGTTTTTGAGACAGCCCAAGGAAACAGAAATGGATATATAGTATTAAAATGGAGAATCTGAATAACACTAAAGAGGCTTGTTAAAGAGATATGCAGATAGCTTTATACCCAAGATCAAAAAGAGTATATGAAGTGCTCATGAATCTTCAAAAATTTACCCTTTAAAAACTTACAAGAAAAATTAGAAATTATAGCAACCATATTCTCTAATTTTAAATCTAGACATAAGTAACAAGGGTGTAAAGGGAAAATGTTTCTAAACTTAGAGATTTTTTAAAAAGAAATAAAAAGGAATCTTAGTTTTCAAAAAAGATAATATTACAACTTCTAATTATTTAAGTAATAAAAAGCAAGTGAACCCCTTTTGGAATAGTAGTAAAGTTATGATCTAAAAGTTTTTATATTAAAAGTAAAAGTGAAAATAGGGTGGTAATATGTGAGCTAAGCATTTAACTTAAATAATTAGACAAAAGTAATAAACCAAACATAAGAACAATAAATAGAGGAAAATAAGAAGCAGTAAATAGTTATTTAGACTGAACAATGAAAAATAATTTTGCTTTAGAAAATGATACAAGCAAAAAAGCCTAGCAGGCCCATAGAAGAGAAGAAATTTAAAACAATAATATACAAATAGATACAGATGTTAAAAATAAAAGTATATAATTCCAGAAAACTATAAAAATTCCTAAATTTAATCAGAATAAAGTATAATGCCAGAATAGACTATTAAGCAGATGACTAAAATAGTGTTCAAAATATCACTAATAAAGTGATTCAGAGAAGAGGTGGTTTTAATAGATAAATTTCTTCAAAGTATAAAGAACAAAATTTCTATATCATACAAAATGTTCCAGAACTTAAAAAAGATGGGAAAACAGCTTCTTTTTACAATTTTATAAAGCTAGCATAACATTCATGATCCAACAAAGATAAATCTTCATATTCCTTATGGTAGTTATTATGTAACTTTTTTTTTTACTGCTTTTTGTTTTAGAAGCACAGAGATAAATTTAAAGCTTTAAGATATATATGGTTGCAGATTTGTAATAAACTTTTCTTGGTCCTGTTTTTCTCTAGACCTCATTTTACATTTTACTGTATAATTTATTTTATGCATTCTTGTATAATTATAATTTTGTATGTATTCTTGCTATAAGTCTTTTCAAATCTTTTCATAATGAAAATTGGACAAAATTAATTACTTTCTTCAAAAAACCATTTTATGTAAGACAAATTTTAAGCCCACAGAAAAACACTGGAATAGTAATGTAAACTTCCTATGTTTTTGATCTATATTCACTGATTGTTAACATGTAGCCACATTTTCAGTCTCTTTCACTCTCATAGGAAAATAGGATGCATATCAAGAATAAGAACTTTTCTACCATTCTACAAAATTCTGTCATGCCCTTTTTCAATGAACTGATATCTCTGAGAAGTATGATCTGATTTGTATCACCACTGGTTAATTTTACTTATTCTGGAATTTCACTGAGCCAAACAGTGTCCACCTTTTTTGTTTCTAGCTTATTTCATTCAGCAAAATATTTTTGAGATTCATCTATATTGTTGCATATATAAATTGTTTGTTTCTCTTTATTGCTGAGTAGAACACTATTTTGTAAAATAACACAGCTTATTTATTCTTTGATGGACCTCTAGGATGTTTACAGTTTGGGGCCAATATGAATAAAGCTATTATGAATTCAACAAGATTCTTTTTATATGGATATCATTTATTTAAGAGATCTTTATTTACCTCAATGAATTACTTTGACATCATTGTTAAAGTTATTTGACCATATATGTGTAAGTCTAATTTTCACTCTATTTTGTTCCATTGGCCTATTTGTTCATCCTTTGCCACACTTACTTGACTATTGTAGGTTTATAGCAAATCTGGAGTCAGGTAGAGTAAGTTTTTCAATTTTGTTCTTCTTGTTCTAGGTTATTTAGGCTATTCTAGTTCCTTTGTTTTTTTAAAATAAATTTTTAAATTAGCTTTTAAATTTCTAGAAATAATCTTGCTAATATTTTTATTGAACCTGTACTGAACATATGGATCAATTTGTGGAAAATTAATTCCTTAACAGTATTGAGTCTTCCAACCCATAAACACAGTGTATCTCTCATTTAGTCCTTTTTAAGTGAACTATAAAATGTTTCATAGTTTTTAATGTAGCTATCTTATGTATATATATATCTTTTATTATATTTTTGCATAACTGTTTAATGTTTTGAATGCTATTGTAGATGGCATTTTTAAATTTCAAGTTCAAATTTTTCATTGCTAGCATACATAAATACAACTGATATTTATATTCTTTGTATCCTGTGTCATTGCTATATTTAGTTATTAGCTTTAGTACTTTTCTCATAGATGTCCTTAGAACTTTCTAAATAACATTATCATGTTATCTGCATGTCAAAGATAAAGACAGTCTTAGTATTTCTTTTCCAATCTGCATGTCTGTTCCTATCTTTTCTTGTCCCATTGCACCAGCACTAGCTCTAGCACAATGTTAAATAGAAGTGATGAAAGTATACAACCTTGTTTTGTTCCTGATCTTAAAAAGAAAGCGTTTAATATTTCACTGTTAAGTATTACATTAGCTCTAAGTTTTTCATGGATGCTCAAATAGCTTGAGGAAGTTTTATTTCTTGTTTGTGGAGTTTTTAATATAAATGGGTAGTTATCAAAAACACCTATTTGTATTATTATATGACCTTTCTTCCTCAATCTGCTAAAGTGATTAACTATATTGGCTGATTTGCATATGGTAAACTAATCTTGCATTTGTAGAATAAACCCCATTTAGTAAAACGTTTATCATTTTTTGTATATTGATGAATTTAATTTGCTATTTTTAAGGATTTAGGCATCTACAATTTTAGGGATATTAAAAGGATGACTTAACAAACTAACAAGAGATTCAAGATCATTAGAATAAAAATATGGTAGCAATGTGAGTGCATACTTCTTGTTTAGTCATCCTACATAATACCTCCTCTAGGCTTATTTATTGACCCTTAGTGAACAGAATCTGAAGTAGAGATTGGGAATATTCAGTGGTATCAGAAATCACAATATAACAACTTTAGAGTTTTGCATGTTTTTTTCATGAAAACAAACAAAAAAATTTTAAAGCGTAATTTTTGAAAGCATAAAATTTGCTTTATAGAGGATTTTATAATCCTGTTGCAAATTTTCTTTTTCATATTGACACTTGAGATTTTTTCTATGTAGCTGTGTAAATTTATACCAAAATTGTAAATTTTCTTTGAAACTATTCTTGTATTCCTTTCATGGAAAAATAGGTAATATGATGTAGAAATTATGTGATTTTGTGGAGCGTCGAAAAGAGCTGCAGCAAAACAACTTGAATGCAATGTTATTTTACACATAACTAATCATTTTTACTTAAAACCCATTGTGGATTTGTGCCTAGGACCATCTTTCATTCAGTGCATGAAAGAGTGATAAAAAAAAATGTTCAGTAAAACTAGAGAAACCATCAGACAGAGCTGTGGTTTTTAAAAAGTCCTCAAAAAAAAGACCATAAAATAGAGAAAAATGGTACTTCATCATTTGTAAGCCTTCATCCAGTGATGAAAGCATTTTACAGTGTTCCAAAACTCATGCAATAATAATTCAGTGGTACTGACTACTGTCTCAATCATGACAAGGAAATACAAGGAAAGTTTGACTAAAATTATAATTATAGTACATGCTAACTATAGCTTTTGAGAAGCCATTTCACCTTTCTGAACCTCTTTCCTATTCTCTAAGATAAGAGGCTTAGAAAATACGATTTGCAAGATCTTTTCTGGACATCAGATGTACCACAACACTTTATAATAACTAATAATCATTGTGAGGACTCTGAAGCATTATAAAGTCCTGAAATGTGCTTGAGTCATCAAAGAGGTTATGGTAAAATTTTTTATTTTGAACGTTTACTGTTTTTGCCCACTCAGCATCTATTCTATCTCTTGGGAACAGCACTTAAATATTTCTTTGATAGTCATCTTACCTCACATAGTTCATTGCTTCAGGTTGATACCAAGGGCTCAAGCTTATAATAATTGGTATAATTCAATTTCTCTGATTTCAGTGGTTCACTGGGTATCTAACTGATATCCAATTAATTCAATTAGACTGAACCCCAGATCTCTTATTTAGAAATTAGAGAACAATTAACTTCTGTGCTTATCATGAATGAGAAAGCATGATAATCTGAGAGCTATTGGTAGCCTTCTCCAGACTATGAAGGGGAAGTTTGTTGATGGTGGAGCCAACACTGAGATAACACTGAAAAACAAAGAACCAGAATTTAGGTCACAGTCACTTTGTTTGAACTTCTAAATCAAGCCTTGCCATAAGACACCAGAACCTTTGGATTTTTTAGTTACTTAAATCCTTTATTTGCTAAGCCAGTTTGCTTTGGGCATTTGTTACTTACAATAAAAAAGATCCTGCTGATATTAATTAGGAAAATGCTTTGATTTAAGATACAGCTACACAAGCTTCAAGGAGCATGTGTCTCCCGATATGTGTATTTGTCCCAATATCAGAACATTGCCCCTTTAGTGGTGAGTTCTGTTTCTTTTCAGTGCATTTTCCCACTCTGCTTCTTTATGAAACAGATTGATTTTTGGGAAGAATATCTTCCACGTTTTCCACCTCACTTCTGGGACCAGTTTTCACTTTCTCTAAGGAAACTCCCTAGCTCTCTCTAAGTGGCTCTAATAATGCCTGTAATGACAGTGTCCAAGACTTTTGTGTTAACTCAGGCCAATCAAAGAATCCAACATTCTTGGCAAGGTGACTAGTACAAGACTGGACATAGGACTCTATAGAGGAATTAGAATTTTTCTTGATATCAATCTATGACATTTGTAAAGAGAAAGGTTTTTTTCTACTTGAGGTTCTAGTCTGGGAGGATTTGAGTTTAGGGATCCAGCGGCCATGTTCCCAGTCACTTGAAAGAAAATATATATGCAAAAGGAAAGAATAAAGCCAGCCCAGAAAAAAAAGAAAGCAGGAATGAGGGAGACGGAGGGCCCTGAAGATAGCATTCAAGACCCATATTCTCCACATGCCTGAAGCCAGCTTCATCCTTGAACTTCTCTGTTCTTCAGTTTGTTACATTCCCTTTTGAGGTTAATCTAATATAAATAGGGTTTTTGCATTTCTCAAGTCCTGACTAATAATACATGAGAAAACTTGTTCAAATTTCTTTGTGCATAAAGATACCTTCTGACTAATTTAGCTGCACACCCGTTCATTTCACTTTCTCCTTGCCATTTTTATTCTCTTTTCAGCATTTGATGCTGTCATGAGTTGGGAAAACTGAGAGCACTGCCTACTCCCCCACCAACACTCTGTGCTGCTTATCACTCTCCTGATAGCAAGCCTCCTAATGAGGAAGCAGCCACAGCTGGCTTTTTGCATCACAGCTTGGGCCTTATATCAACTAGACTTAGCAGATACTTCTTTTGGAGCTGCCAATTCAAATATACTAGCATGCGTATGAATTGTGTTGTAACTGAAATCTCACCATCATTTTCCTAACCATGTGTCCAGGGACAGTCAGCTGGTGCTAGGGAGACTATGAAGAGACAGCTTTTTTTTATCTCTCTCTCTCTCTCTCTGCAAACAGGTTTCTGGGGGCAGAACCTACTGTGAGAGCACATTTCCAGACCAACAGGAACATCTGCACTCGCCTTGTGTAATACTAGCTTAGTATTGCATTTTACCCTTATTTTTGTGGTATTTCAATAGAAAACCTACATTTTTCACTTTCAGACATTCAGAAATAACACTAAAGTTGGCATGGATGTCCCAGTCTTCCTCCGTGTGGAGTCAGTCTAATACAATACTAGCACTGTACTAGTACTAGTTTTGGCCCCAGAGTTGAGGCCAAAAAAAATGATATTTTTGATTTGACAGATTGTGGTTCTTTATGCTATAAGAACAATGGATTGGTTAACTTTCAGAATGTCGTTGGTTACAGAACATATCTTTACACTAAACTGTCTCTGTCTTTCTCCGATTTCATCTTTCTCTCAATGCCCTTACACTGTCCCATGCATACACATCATTTCAAATGACTAGTCTCTCCCTTCCAGAGATTGATGTTACTATCTAATTATAGATGCTTAGAAAACTAACGGTAGACATCTTTCCCATGTATGCATTCAAATCTGTGCTTAAGAAACAGCATTTTCAGGCAATGGACTTCTTCATCTTTTGTCACCAATTTCTAGTTCATTTAATTGACAGATATTTATGAACTGCATATTCTAAGCCAGACACCGTGGCAAGCAAGAAAAGGCCACACCCTACCATCATCAAACTAGTTGATAAAAGATGAGTTGGGAGCCCTTAGTTCCATTTCCATTTAGTTAAATGTCCATTTATTAGGGTTTTTAATGGATTATCCTAATTATGATTCATGTAACTACTGCTTGTTCACTTTGTAAATTTATAAATCTCCATGCAAATATGAGTGATTAATTGTGTCAATAACTCTAAAAGCAACAGTAAGATAAAGAGGACATTCATTGCAGCTGCTGCTGTCTGTTTTGTATTCATTTCTCTCTCCCTTCCTCTACCTTCTCCTCTTTTGAGGTTGCAGAAATTTAAGAAAAATTAAAGTTTCTTTAACCTCCATTATGGTGACTATGATTATTGTTGCATTGCCTGAGAATGTGAGAGTGATACTTTGTGGATCACATGATTTAAATTGGTAAAATTCACAATTATACTCAGATATAGTACTTTGTTAAAAAGTGGAATCCTAGCACTTTGCAAGGCTGAGGTGGGAGGGTTGTTTGAGACTGGGAGTTTGAGATCAACCTGGGCAACATAGTGAGACCCTTGTCTCTACAAAAAAACAAAACCAAAATTAGCTGGACATACATGGTGGCACATGCCTGCAGTCCCAGTGGCTTGGGAGACTGAGGTGGTAAGATCACTTAAGCTCGGGAGGTCACGGTTGCAGTGAGCCATGACTGTGCCACTGTACTCCAGCATGGCTGACAGGGCAAGACCCTGTCTCAAAAAAAAAGACTTGGAACCAACCCAAATGGCCATCAATAATAGACTCGATAAAGAAAATGTGGCACATATAAACCATGGAATACAACGCAGCCATAAAAATAATGAGTTCATGTCCTTCACAGGAACATGGATGAAGCTGGAAACCATCATCCTCAGCAAACTAATGTAGGAACAGAAAACCAAATGCTGCATGTTCTCACTCATAAGTGGGAGTTGAACAATGAGAACACATGGACACAAGGAGGGTAACATCACACACACTAGGGCCTGTCAGGGGGTGGGGGTAGGGGGGCAAAGGGAAGGAGAGCATTAGAACAAATACCTAATGCATGCAGGACATAAAATATAGATGATAGGTTGATAGGTGCAGCAAACCACCATGGCACATGTATAACTCTGTAACAAATCTGCATGTTCAGCACATATATCTCAGAACTTAAAGCAAAATAAAATAAAATAAAATAGGTATCAAGATTTTATAGATATCAAGTTAATTTCATGATTGCAGTTAGATGGTTCAGATAATTCTAGCTTTGACCTTTTAGATTCTCAGAAAGAATGAAAGTCACTAAGGACACCTTTTGGGAGACAGCTTGCCTATTCAGGACAACACCTAAATGTCTTCCTATAGTTAAGAGTAAGTATGTATTTCAGCAACTAAGTTTAAATAAGGTTTTTTTATTGTTTGAGTAACTTTTTCTAAGTTCAAGTAACATTTTCTTTACTTATTGTACAAGTTTCTCAGGATAATTTGACCTGAAAACATTATGAACTAGCTACATCACTCAAACATATTCAGAATACCCCTTCTTACTATTTGGATATAATTTGAGCAAACTGTGGACTGGATAGGAACAAGTTAAGGGTGCAAGGACTCCCAGTCCCACCAGTGGATGATTTTCTGTTTCTATGTCTTCCTTGCCCCAAGTATTTGGTAATAGAGGAAGAGAAATTCATTTGCCAAAAAGAGATGTTTGTGGATGTTGGAAAATAATCTTTTTAGTGATATTTCACTTGGAGTTTTATTTCCCTTACAGAGGACTATAAATAATCTCTCCCACATTCCCTATGAGGGTTATAGTCAGTCCCGTTCACCAACAGAGGAAGGAGGCAACCTTATGATATATTTTCAAATTCCCAAATGATCAACTGCTCAAAAACAGTCCCCCCACAGTAACAGAAAAACCTAGCACTGAATGGGACTCTTGGATGTGGTTAAGTGTTATGTATCCAAGAGGCATCTGCTGGTAAAAAAAAATAGCAGCCAAATAGAAACAAATATTAGATGAGGAAGCTCAATAGTTTAGCCTATTTAATATGTGTTTTTGCCCATTTTTTTTGCATTCCTGGATTAGTCATTCTGCTCAACAGGCCTCGGGGACTGGGATCTTGAAAAATAAGTTGCAATAATGAAAAAAGATGGGGACTATTAAAAGTATGGAGCACTTTTATGATGCAGAATTTCTTGGTATTGAGTTTGCACTCCAGAAAGCTACAAATACTAAAAATTCATTCACTACCAGACACATGGAGATGTCTTGGGTATTGTCTCTTGCATACATAACAGCTCTGCGGTCTCCCAAGAGACCATCAAGGTGACATTGACCTTGGTGCATCCAAAGTCTTATCTGAGAAAATAAATTCTGCAAGTTACTCTGAGATAAAATATTTTTGGAGTCAAATAAGTTTATCTATATATCATATACCACTATTAAAGACTCAAACATGATATATATAACATGTTATGGGATCTAAGAAGATATAAATTAAATAATCCTGTTTAACCTTTGTTTCTCACAGTAGGACTTCTCTTCTTTGAAACATTTAATATCCTGTGGGTTTACTTTGGGAAATAGGACTTATGTGAATTTACTTTCTGGTCTTTTGTCAATATTTATAAAGTACAGTCTATAAGCCAAACTACTTTTTTATGATGAGGGGACTGAGCTAACAATATGACATAGTTATTCAATGAAAAATCTGGAATTCATACTCTGGATATTTGGTGCCAAAGTCCAGACTTTTGATGATTACATATCCAAGGTCTAATTTTCAACATTAAATTTTAAGAAACTTAATTCTGTTCATAGTCATGGGATGCTTCATCTTTAGGCTTAGAGGAACATGAGACAAAATCCACAGATTAATGTTTCAAACCAGAATGAGTACTTTATAATTTACAATAAGAAATTGCCACCATACAGAGTAGAACACTCAAAGAGCATCATTTACATTCTTTCTATAGGTAGAGACATATGGGAAGCCAGAACACATTTAAAATGTTGCAGGATGAGAATGAAATCACAACAATTGATCACTGTTTCTCATACTGTGCTTCAGGGACTTGCACTTGTGGGGAAATAATGTGCCTTGGAATTCCTTCATCATTGACAGAGTGTCAAGTTTTCCCATAAAATTATCATCAGTAGCAGGGAGATTGCACCACAATGAAAAACTAAGAATATGTGCCTATTCACTTTCCCTTCTAAAAGCCAATGAAAATATATAACAATTAATTTATTCAATGAATAAATCCATAAGTATGGAGAAGCTATATAGAATGTCATTAGAAAACCAAAACCATTATGAAATTTCCAAAATATAAAAAGCAAACATAAATGGATAAATGAAAAGTAAAACAATAGGAAAACAAAATACAAAACATGATCTGAATACTTCTGAGGTAGTGATATTTCCTGTTGGAGAAACCATCCTGTTGGTCAGGATGATTTCACTGGTGAGCTGTATCTCGTGCACCTAGAGTAACTAAACTCTAGTAACTCCCTCTTTTCCCTTACTTGATCAAGCAGTGGTTTGTGTGTCCCTTGGTCACAAGATGAAGCAGGAAACCAGATCAGGGTCCACAGAACAGAATTGTAAAATCAAGACAAGGAGTTATTGATTTCCAAGAAAGACAAAGTTGCCTCTACCCATAAAACAATTTAAGTCACATCCCAAATTTACCACAGCCCTGCTCTTTCTTTTTCAGTAAACATCAGGGGCAAGCAGTAATCATCAAAGCAGGGAAGGGGTCAAGGTAAAACTTTCCCTTTGCCTTCTGAAAGTTTGCTGAAAATCAATTGACAAAGAGCAGATTAAAAGGAGAAAAGGGGCCAGGTGTGGTGGCTGACAACTATAACCCCAGTGCTTTGGGAAGCCAAGGCAAGAGAGGGTCATGTGAGCCAAGAAATTCAAGAACAGCCTGGGTAACATAGAGAGACCCTCATCTTTACAAACAACAGAAAAAACTAGCCCAGTGTGGTGGCTCAGGTCTGTAGTCCCAGTGACTCTGGAGGCTGAGGTGGGAAGATGGCTTGAGACCAGGAGATTGAGGCTGCAGCGAGGCATGATTGTGTCGCTGCACTCCAGCCTGGGTGACAGAGCAAGATCCCACCAAAAAAAAAAAAAAAAAAAAAAAGAGGAAAGAGAAGAAAAGAGCTACAGATTTTTAAAGTGCACACGTGTGCATGGAAGTCATACAAAATATGAAAATTCAAAGAAAAGGCCAGATGGTTTATCCTTTTATATCATCTTGAGGTTACAGTAAAAATAAGGGCCTGAACCATGGCAAAACAGGTTATGGGAGAGAAGGAGAAACAAAGGTAAGGCCAGCAAAGATAGTCTTGTTATGCAGATGAAGCCTCACAGGTAGCAGACCTCAGAAAGAATAGATGGAAGCCTGTGGTGGAGTTCATCTTTCCTAGATCTCGATAAAGGGGCAGGCCTGAGAGAAACTTGGTAGTTTATTTCACTGAAGTAGATTTTTCTCAACAAATGCAAATATTTTCCATAAAAGGCAGCTTTTCAAGGCTATTCCTGTCTGCAGGCTCTCTGAATAGCTAACTCAAAATATTTCAAAGAAGTATATTTTAGGGTGAAATATTTTTGTTTTTTTTTAGTCTCCCAGCTGAAAGTTTATTTTCAGAAAGTTTCATATATTAAGTTGGGATTGGTGGCTATAGAGAGAATTGGCTTAGAGATTGTGAGATAAGAGATTGGCGAAGAAAAACAAAAGCATGGATTAGGACCAGCAGCCAAATCTTCTTGAATCAAACTCAGTCTTGAGAATATGAGAATCTGTCAGGTCAGTTAAATAGTTGAGTCTCATTCCAAGAGTTAAACAGTTGAGTCCCATTCCAGGAGGTGGCATTGCAGATGAAAACACAAAGCTAGGCATCTATATATGATTTATGCAAACAGATCTTTAAGGGGAATTTCTATAGAAATAGAAGAAGAAGAAAAAAAGGTTAATGTCTGGAGTAGTCTATAAAGTAGTTTTTCTAGAGTCTCTGAAGCATCTTTAGTTGGATTGGGCAGGCAGTGGCAAACTGACAGATGTTCTTAGGTTGTAATTTCAGTCAAGTGTTCTAGTAAACTTTCTGCATAATTCATAAGTCAATAGGCGTGAAGGCTGCTTATAAGTTGCTATAACAATTTCTCCCAACATTTATGTCAAGTTGTCTAGTTTCAGTTTGTAGGGCTTTAAGAGAAGCAGTTTTAATCTCTAGTGATTTTAAGTCAGAAGGGTAGGAGAAAAGTTGGAAATGTTAATCTGGAGAGTCACAGCCAGATACTGGAGGAAACTAAAAATTTAGGATTTAGTCTAGATTTCAGATAAATAATAAAATTTCATTTTAAAAAGCCACAATGAGCTGGAATCTCATTACAAATGTACTATAGGTTTTTTTTTTTTTTTTGACACATAGTTTTTCTCTCCTTAGTCTCTCACTTCTACTTCTACCAAAGATAAATTATAGTAAGACTAATTTATTTGCAAAATAAATTTTAGTCTTATTATACTTGTCCTGATTATTTGTATAAAGTGCAGCAAGAATAGTACTTGTCATATAGATTATTTTTAAGTTAGCTTTACGGAACTTTTTCATAAGGACTTTTGAATTAGACTTTGGAAAACTTCTAAAGGCTTAGGAGCCAAACCAAAGACAGTGTCTGTAATATCTGTATGAATTGGGTGAATTCTTCTTAAGGTCCTCAAAATATCTTGAGTTTCCTGGGCCTGTCACATTCTTTACTTACTGCAAGGTCAGAAACTATGTAAAGGAACTATATAGACAAAGTATCAGGTTAATCTTTCTCCAAGTCTATTGGCTTTATAAAGTCAAGCTGAACACCTCAAAGCAGCCTGGTCACATTTGAAAATATGACATTCCAGTCAAAGCTTTGGTAAAATAACAGTATCTCCAATTGTGACTTGTAATAAAAGAAAAAATATCTTTATTGAGCTCATACAAATATGTATACTGCCATAAAATAAGAATAATCCCAAACAATTTACAAATTCTGGAGGGATTAGGTAGTGAAAAAGGTAAACATTTCAATTTTACTCACAAAAGTATGATTCATCCAATTCCTGTAAGCTACAAATTGCATAAAATAAAAAAGTTTTCTTAACTCTAGAAAAGAAAACATTAAAAAATGAGCAACAGTTTAAACAAAAAAATATAAAAATCATTTCAATTATTCATCAGTTCAGTCCCACATATTTAATTCTTACTGTGCTTGATGCTAGGTTGGTAATTTTATGAGTCCTGTTTTCTAATTGGAGTTTTCAAAATTCTTACCTAGTCCAATTGTATGATCTTAAAGTTGTCAGAAACCTGTATTTCAGGGTACTTTTTGTAGTCTTTTCCATAAACTTCCTTGAAGACACAATACTTTAGCATTTGCAAAAAGTTTTTAGGAAAAAAAGCATCAGAAGAAAGCAATTTACTGCAGACAAAAGGCTTAAAATGGCCATGGTTAGAGATGCAATTGACAAACTCCTTTAGTTATTTTCTGTGGCCTACAATTTAATATATCAGATTTTTAAGAATCTCATACAATTTTGGAACACATTTATGCAAATATAATGCAAAGAAGAGTCAACATTATTACTTTTTGGACAATGCTTCCCATATAACTTAACATATCAAATAAATATGTTTACTATCTCTTTTTCAGATGCCTCAGGGGCTGTCTGTAACATCCCAAAGTAAGTTTGAGGTCAAAAAGACTTAATTTTGATTTGTGAAATTTGATTTTGAGAAGCCTGTCAAATATGTCAAAGGCTTAAAATACTTGACCAAAATAGGATCACAAATCACTGTAAAATAACAGTCATTCATTTAGCCACAGTGATAATGAAAAGGTTTCAGAAAGCAAAAATCTTCACCAAGAGAAGAGACTCAGTTCCCAAATAATCAAAAGACATAACAAAATCAGCATCAGACATACAGTCTCTGTTTCCTTTTCTCTCTCCCCACTGTTTTTTGAGTTTACTCAAAGGAGGTACCACAATCTTTTACTATTTCTTTTTAATACTATATAAAATTCTTATTAAAAATCAAACTCTAGTTTTTCATTAGTGACTTTTGCTATTAAGCCTCAACCTAAAAACTCTTATAATAAAGCAATCCCATTGCTAGGTATCTATAAAAAGAAAGGAAATTAGTGTCTCAAAGAAATATCTTCAGGCCCATGTTTATTGCAATACTACTCACAACAACCAAGATTTAGAAACAACCTAAGTGTCCATTAAGAGATGAACGAAGATTTAATGTTAATGAATATTTAGTCACACAAAATTTAGAAATTCCCTTTCCCTAACTTTCTGTATCCATTTCCCCAACTTTTCAAAGTAGAAATCTATGTCATTTTTTTCTTCGCTGAGAAACAAAACTATTTTTTTAACAAACACACATCTTCATGCATTTATAACTTTCCTCAACAAAAGCATATCTTGCTTCTCTCATACACTTTGCATATAAAATTATTTCTCTTATTTTAATACTCTTAATTACATATAATAATTTAAATTTTGACTTTTGGTAGCTCTAATTTCTAGTGAAAACCTAGAAAGTAATTTTGAGCTGTTTCATATTTTCAGATGAATTGCATTTCATAATTTTTTATAAAAATGTTTTCTCAATTTTTCATTAATTAACAGATCTAAGTTTAGCTTTATGATATAAAACGATGTCAAAGTATATAAACAAACATATTAATAACTAATGTTTTAGTATTTAACTTACAAATGACTCAGACATTTTATGATTATTACTTAATTTAACATAACATGACTTTAATATTTTAAATTACTGAAAATAATTTTGAAACTATGACAGAGGTACCCTCCCAAATATTTTTTCTAGTCATCTTGGGTTTCAAGTACCCACAAAAGGCATCATCGAGGATGGCTGTGAAAGGCAGGACCCACCTGGGTTCTGAATTCACACACCAGGTGTGGAGCTCAGAACAGAAGACAGAGCTGTGAAGATGGCAGCTGGTGACCCAGGTGCTGTAGACACACCTCTCCATGGCCACCTGTCCAGATCTGAGAATCCAGAGGCTCAAAAACAAAGACATAAGCTCACAGCAAGATGTGTGCAAGGCTTCAGGGGAGCCCAGCAGGCAGCCCTTACAGCTTCAGCTTATGGAAAAACCAAACAAATATAAAAAAATTACAGAGGCAACAGTTTCATGATCTTAAGACTGCTAACAGGGGAAGCCAAAATCTGATCAATAGTCCCACGCAAAAAATTTTAAATTATTTTTAGTACTGAAAATTCTAAAGACATTTTATTTTACCAACAATTTTTAAATTAGCTGTATTTACCAAAGATTATCTCAAATTATATAGAAATATCATGTATACTTAATACACATAGACATGTAGTCCTATAGCTACTCAGACAGAAGCCGATCTTCTAGGTTTGGATAAGATTCTTTACTTGCCAGCTTCCAAAGAGTGTTTCTTTTCCTCATTTAGAACATAACTATTCTGATGACCTGTTTTATTGCTCTAAGTAGTTGTTAACTAGGCAACCCTACATTTGTACTTCTTTTTTTAATTTAATTTAATTAATTTATTTATTTTTCAAATGGAGTCTCACACTGTCACCAGGCTGGAGTACAGTGGTGCAATTTCGGCTCACTGCAAATTCTACCTCCCAGGTTCAAGTGATTCTTCTGCCTCAGCCTCCTGAGTAGCTGGGACTACAGGTGCATGCCACCACGCCTGGCTAATTTTTGTATTTTTAGTAGAGACGGAGTTTCCCCATGTTGGCCAGGATGGTCTCAATCTCTTGACCTCGTGATCCACCTGCCTCAACCTCCCAAAGTGCTGGAATTACAGGTGTGAGCCACCGTGCCCAGCCACATTTGTACTTCCAAAGGGATGACTCTTAGGTGAAACAAAGTAGAAATTTATATCTCAAAGACACAGAGCTTAGATCTAAATATCATTTTTTTGCCAAGACAAAGAACGGCATAGGTAAAGGCCTAGTTAAGGCATGATAGTCAGGAAAAGTATCTTAAACAAAAGTAAGATAGTTTTTTATGTAAACGTTTAAGTCAATATCTTTCTCATGTAAAAATTTCTGGTGGTTTAGGTACAGAGGAGGAAGATGCCATTTCAAATAAAGATTTTCTTTTTAGGTGTAAATTTCTTTTACAAAGAGTTTAAAAATAGCCAAATGCCAGAAAGTTGTACTTTGGGGACCAATTTAGTTGGGAGGTGACTTTAATTTAGATTCTGTGTCTTAATTGGATATGCAATTTAAGGCGGAGCCCATTAATGAATAAAGCTAAACCAACTCCTGACCCCTAGGGCTCTGTGAGGTGAACAAGGGACCCAAGAAATGGCCAGTGGCACCTTGATTGTGTTCCTCAAGAGGTCTCACAGTCACTGGAAGTCTCTTTTAGACCCTTTATGTGATAACTAGAACTCTCATATTTGTTCTTACTAATTCTTATCCATTAACCATTGAATGGAGAAAGTAGGGGTTTGCAGGGTAACTTATCAGTGATTAAAGGAAACTGGATGGGAAATTGAAGGTGGCAGAATGGGGGACAGAAGTAAATGAAAGAATGAGTCCTAGAGGAGCCAGTCTGGGGAGATCTTAAGCTTTCCAAAAGGACTAATGGAATTTTGCACCTTTTATATATATATATATATATATATATACATATATATATATATACACCAAGATTATTGCCACCGGGAAAAGAAGTGGACCAAAGGGACTAAACATTTAAGAAGGGGTTTCAGTTGCCAAAAACACACAAACAAAGAAACATGGGGAAATAGGATCTAAAGGAAAACATAGAGGTTTTTTTTGTGTTTTTTTTTTTAATGGCCTAATACCAGCTTTTAATTAAGCTGACTTTTGACTCTTTTAAAACAAAATTAAATATCTAAGGAGCAAATATTTTGTACTCTGAGCAGCCAGCCTTTCACTGGAGCAGAGGGAATGGGGGTGCTGGCTGTGGGAGCAGTGTCTCCCCCACCTCCACCCACCCCACTCCCTGCCACAAGACCCTGCTGACTGTGAGGAGTCTGCCTTGCCTGCTCACTAGTTCAGTTCCCAGTGGCAGTGGTAGCCATGTCTGTCAGGCTCAATATAGGAAACAAGATAAATTGGGGAAAAAGTTGCTACCATACTCTAGATATAAACCAAAGTTTTAAACAAGAGGTATACCTAAACAAATGACTCAAAGCCAAAACAAGCATATGTGAGACTGATAACATAAGGCCCTTTATGGCTTTAACCAATGCCTTTCCCAAGATTCAGACCATTCCCGATGACAGCTCAAAGAAAGGAAAGTTTTATTAGCCAAATGAGGTACATCCCACATTTCTGTCCAGTTGTATTCTATAGGGTCTCAGATTCTCAGATGACTGTCTACTCACACATACTCCATTACCAGTGTGCCCCATAGACAGAAGATTAAAAGAGAAAGTCAGTAAGACAGGAGATCAAAAACTTTTTCCTGGGGGTAGAAAGAATTGCAAATTGGTACCCAAAATAGTCAAGAGTTATACAAATATACATCCAAAGCAAGTAATTCAAACTAACTTTTATAAACGTTTCTTTCCTGACCCAACGGAATCTACTTAAGAATTTATTGTAGAAGTTTACATTTCAAAGTGGTAAACTTTACATCTCTCCCTGGTTCCTTGACCTAGAATCAAAGCTAGGCTGCAGCAGTGACAGCCAAATTCTAAACTCTAGAATAAAGGGTAGAGTGTCCTTTTTTCTTTTCTTTTTTTTTTTTTTTTTTTTTGCACATCAGGGTATTCAAAACAGGCAGTTGAGCATTGAGTGTACAAAGAATTTAAATTGTGTTTTTGTTTTTCTGCTTGTTTTTGTTTCTTTTGAGACAGAGTCTCAAACTGTCACCCAGGCTGAAGTGCAATGGCGTGATCTTGGCTCACTGCAACCTCCACCTCCCAGGTTTAAGCAATTCTCCTGTCTCAGCCTCCTGAGTAGCTGGCATTACAGGTGCCTGCCACCACGTCCAGCTAATTTTTTGTATTTTTTAGTAGAGACGAGGTTTCACCATGTTGCCCAGGCTGGTCTCGAACTCCTGACCTTGTGATTCACCTGCCTCGGCCTCCCAAAGTGCTGGGATAAACTTTGTTGTAAATCTGATTTATACGCTCTTTTTGATATTGCCAAGGGAGTTTCTGAGGCTGTATTCCAATAAAACAGCTGTTTAAGATGAGAGCTCTCTAAATAGTATTCTTTCATATATAGTCAGCTTATTTGTTTCATAAATGATTCAAGCCAATGAGCCTGTTTTCATACAAAGTCCCAGAGGTAACTTTTAAGATTTTGAATACCATGGACATGAGTGGATTTTTAAAAGTGGGTGCAGAAGATGTAGCCCCCCCAAAAAATTTTCTCAAAAATTCACTCCAAGAAATAAGCTAAGATAGTGAAACACTCTTGTTGCCACAGATGGTTAAGGATAGTGTTTGCACATATGGTGTCTTCAGTATTCCATGAATTTATGGAGGGTTGGCAGTCATAGAACCATTAAATCTGACACCCAGTAGGCCCTCCTAGGATTGAACTTTCCCAGGATTAGCCAGGCAACAAGGGTTGAGACAACAGAAACCTTTCATGGATGGGATTTCTTATAAAGACAAACTCCTGTGAGAACTTAGCCCATTCAGAAGACAGAAGGTGCTGCTTAATATCTGATGACTCTGTTCCCAGTCCTTTCACACTGGCCACTGGAAAGAACCTGAAAATCAGGTCCCCCAAATGGCAGAGACCAGTAAAGAGTGCTGCCACTTGGTCACAAGCCAAGCTATCAGGAATGTAGAACAAGATGAGAATGACTCTACGACAAATGACACAGAAAGAGACAAAGGAAAAAATAAAGACTATTTCTGGAAGGAAAAGATTCAGACAGTATGAAGATTCATATCAAAAAATTACATGACAGTTGGTACACTTAAGGCTAGTCTGCATAAATGCTTTTCACTTGTTAATCTTAAATTTGGAAAAAGAAAAAGAGACAAATAGTGATTTATTTATTTATTTATTTTGTACCATTCCTTGATGGGTTCCACAGGCTAACACCTGGGAATATGAGTGGTAAGTGTCAGGCCTCTGAACCCAAGCTAAGCCATCATATCCCTTGTGACCTACATGTATACATCCAGATAGCCTGAAGTAACTGAAAAATCACAAAAGAAGTGAAAATGGCCTGTTCCTGCCTTAACTGATGACAGTCCACCACAAAAGAAGTGAAAATGGCCAGTCCCTGCCTTAAGTGATGACATTACCATGTGAAATTCCTTCTCCTGGCTCATCCTGGCTCAAAAGCTTCCCAACTGAGCACCTTGTGAACCCCGCCCCTGCCAGCCAGAGAACAACCCCCTTTGACTGTAATTTTCCACTACCCACCCAAATCTTATAAAACAGCCACACCCCTATCTCCCTTCACTGAGTCTCTTTTCGGACTCAGCCCACCTGCACCCAGGAGATTAAAAAGCTTTACTGCTCACACAAAGCCTGTTTGGTGGTCTCTTCACATGGACGCGAGTGAAATTTGGTGCCGAAGACCCGGGTCAGAGGGACTTCTTCAGGAGATCAGCCCCCTGCCCTCACCCTCACTCCATGAAGAGATCCGTCTACGACTTCTGGTCCTTAGACTAACCAGCCCAAGGAACATCTCACCAATTTTAAATAGGATAAGTGGCCTCTCTTTACTCTCTTCTCCAACCTCTCTCACTATCCCACAACCTCTTTCTCCTTTCAATCTTGGCAACATCTTTCAATCTCTCCCTTCTCTTAATTTCAGTTCCTTTCCTTTTCTGGTAGAGACAAAGAGATGCGTTTTATCTATGGACCCAAAACTCCAGCGCCAGTCATGGACTCGGGAAGACAGTCTTCCCTTGGTGTTTAATCACTGCAGGGACGTCTGCCTGATTATTCACCCACATTTCATTGGTGTTTGATCACTGCAGGGATGCCTGCCTTGGTCATTCACCCACATTCCCTTGGTGGCAAGTCAATTGTGGGGATGCCTGCTTTGGCTGCTCACCCACATTGCAGCCCAGGGCTGCTCACCCAACCCTTTCTCTCCATTTCTCTACCCTCTCTTCTCTCCACTTTCCTGGGGGGCAAGCATCCCCCAACCCTTTTCCACTTTCCTGGGGGGCAGGCACCCCCCACCCCTTCTCTCCATGTCTCTACCCTCTCTTTTCTCTGGACTTGCCTCCTTCACTGTAGGCAAACTTCCACCCTCCATTCCTCCTTCTTCTCCCTTAGCCTGTGTTCTCAAGAACTTAAAACCTCTTCAACTCACATCTGACTTAAAATCTAAGCATCTTATTTTCTTCTGCAACACCACTTGACCCCAATACAGACTTGACAGTGGTTCCAAATAGCCAGATAATGGCACTTTCAATTTTTCCATACTACAAGATCTTGATAATTCTTGTCATAAAATAGGCAAACGGTCTGAGGTGCCTGACGTCCAGGCATTATTTTACACATCGGTACCTCCCTAGTCTCTGTTCCCAATGCAACTCATCCCAAATCCTCCTTCTTTCCCTCCCACCTGTCCCCTCAGTCCTAACCCCAAGTGTTGCTGAGTCTTTCCAATATTCCTTTTCTACAGACCCATCTCACCTCTCCCCTCCTCCCCAGGCTGTTCCTAGCCAGGCTGAGCCAGGTCCCAATTCTTCCTCAACTTCTGCTCTCCCACCCTATAATCCTTTTGTCACCTCCCCTACTCACACCTGGTCCAGCTTACAGTTTCATTCCGTGACTAGCCCACCCACACCTGCCCAGAAATTCCCTCTTAAAAAGGTGGCTGGAGCTAAAGGCATAGTCAAGGTTAATGCTCCTTTTTCTTTATCCGACCTCTCCCAAATCAGTTAGCATTTAGGCTCTTTTTCATCAAATATAAAAACCCAGCCCAGGTCACGGCTTATTTGGCAGCAACCCTGAGATGCTTTACAGCCCTAGACCCTAAAAGGTCAAAAGGCCGTCTTATTCTCAATATGCATTTTATTACCCAGTCTGCTCCCAATATTAAACAAAGCTCCAAAAATTAAATTCTGGCCCTCAAATCCCACAACAGGACTTAATTAACCTAGCCTTCAAGATGTACAGTAATAGAGTAGAGGCACCCAAGTAGCAATGTATTTTTGAGTTGCAGTTCCTTGCCTCCACTGTGAGACAAACCCCAGCCAAATCTCCAGGACACAAGAACTTCCAAAGGCTTGAACCGCAGTGGCCAGGCATTCCTCCAGGACCGCCTACCCCAGGATCTTGCTACGAGTGCCAGAAATCTGGCTGCTGGGCCAAGGAATGCCTGTAGCCCAGGATTCCTCCTAAGCTGTGTCCCATCTGTGCAGGATCCCACGGAAAATTGGACTGTTCAACTCACCTGGCAGCCACTCCCAGAGCCCCTGGAACTCTGGCCCAAGGCTCTCTGACTGACTCCTTCCCAGATCTTCTCAGTTTAGTGGCTGAACACTGACACTGCCCGATCGCCTCAGAAGCCCCCTACACCATCACTGACGCCAAGCTTCAGGTAACTCTCACAGTGGAGGGTAAGTCCGTACCCTTCTTAATCAATACAGAGGCTACCCACTCCACATTACCTTCTTTTCAAGGGCCTGTTTCCTTTGCCTCCATAACTGTTGTGGGTATTGATGGCCAGGCTTCTAAACCTCTTAAAACTCCCCAACTCTGGTGCCAACTTAGACAATACTCTTTTAAGCACTCCTTTTTAGTTATCCCCACCTGCCCAGCTCCCTTATTAGGTCAAGACATTTTAACTAAATTGTCTGCTTCCCTGACTATTCCTAGGCTATAGCCACACGTCATTGCCACCTTTCCCCCCAGTTCAAAGCCTCCTTCACATCCTTTCCTTGTATTTCCCCACCTTAATCCACAAGTATAGGACACCTCTACTTCCTCCTTGGCAACAGATGATGCACCCCTTACCATCCCATTAAAACCTAATCACCCTTACCCCGCTCAATGCCAATATCCCATCCCACAGCATGCTTTAAAAGGATTAAAGCCTGTTGTCACTTGCCTGTTACAGCATGGCCTTTTAAAGCCTATAAACTCTCCTTACAATTCCATTTTACCTGTCCTAAAACCAGACAGGCCTTACAGGTTAGTTCAGGATCTGTGCCTTATCCACCAAATTGTCTTGCCTATCCACCACGTGGTGCCAAACCCATATACTCTCCTACCCTCAATACCTCCCTCCACAACCCATTATTCTGTTCTGGATCTCAAACATGCTTTCTTTACTATTCCTTTGCATCCTTCATCCCAGCCTCTCTTTGCTTTCACTTGGACTGACCCTGACACCCATCAGGCTCAGCAAATTACCTGGGCTGTATTGCTGCAAGGCTTCACAGACAGACCCCATTATTTCAGTCAAGCCAGAGTTCTTACACAAGAGCCGGGACCATGCCCTGTAGCCTTTTTATCCAAACAACTTGACCTTAATGTTTTAGCCTAGCCTCATGTCTGTCTGCAATGACTGCCGCTGCCTTAATACTTTTAGAGGCCCTCAAAATCACAAACTATGCTCAACTCACTCTCTACAGTTCTCATAACTTCCAAAATCTATTTTCTTCCTCCCACCTGATAAATATACTTTCTGCTCCCCAGCTCCTTCAGCTATACTCACTCTTTGTTGAGCCTCCCACAATTACCATTGTTCCTGGCTGGCCTTCAATCCAGCCTCCCACATTATTCCAGATACCACACCTGACCACCATGACTGTATCTCTCTGATCCACCTGACATACACCCCATTTCCCCATATTTCCTTCTTTCCTGTTTCTCACCCTGATCACATTTGGTTTATTGATGGCGGTTCCACCACGCCTAATCACCACTCACCAGCAAAGGCAGGCTATGCTGTAGTATCTTCCACACTTATCATTGAGGCTACCGCTCTGCCCCCTCCACTACCTCTCAACCAGCCAAACTCCTTTCCTTAACTCAAGCCCTTGCTCTTGCAAAAGGACTATGCATCAATATTTATATGACTCTAAATAAATATGCTTTCCATATCCTGCACAGCCATGCTGTTATAGGGGCTGAAAGAAATTACCTCACTATACAAGGGTCATCTATCATTAATACCTCTTTAATAAAAACTCTTCTCAAGGCCACTTTACTTCCAAAGGAAGCTGGAGTCATTCACTGCAAGGGTCATCAAAAGGCATCAGATCCATTGCTCAGGACAATGCTTATGCTGATAAGGTAGCTAAGAAAAGCAACTAGTATTCCAACTTTTATCCCTCATGGCAGTTTTTCTCCTTCTCATCTGGTCACTCCCACCTACTCCACCACTGAAACTTCCACCTATCAATCTCTTCCCACACAAGGCAAATGGTTCTTGGACCAAAGAAAATATCTCCTTCCAGCCTCACAGGCCCATTCTATTCTGTTGTCATTTCATAACCTCTTCCATGTAGGTTACAAGCCGCTAGCCTGTCTCTTAGAACCACTCATTTCCTTTCCATTGTGGAAATCTATCCTCAAGGAAATCACTTCTCAGTGTTCCATCTGCTAGTCTACTACTCTTCAGGGATTGTTCAGGCCCCCTCCTTTCCCTACACATCAAGCTTGGGGATTTGCCCCTGCCCAGGGCTGGCAAATTGACTTTACTTACATGCCCTGAGTCAGGAAACTAAAATAACTCTTGGTCTGGGTAGACACTTTCACTGGATGTGTAGAGGCCTATCCCACAGGGTCTGAAAAGGCCACCATGGTCATTTCTTCCCTTCTGTAAGACATAATTCCTTGGTCTGGCCTGGCCTTCCCACCTCTATACAGTCCAATAATGGACTGACCTTTATTAGTCAAATCACCCAAGCAGTTTCTCAGGCTCTTGGCATTCAGTGGAACCTTCATACTCCTTACCATCCTCAATCTTCAGAAAAGGTAGAATGGACTAATGGTCTTTTAAAAACACACCTCACCAAGCTCAGCCACCAACTTAAAAAGGACTGGACAATACTTTTACCACTTGCCCTTCTGCGAATTCGGGCCTGTCCTCGGGATGCTACAAGGTACAGCCCATTTAAGTTCCTGTATGGATGCTCCTTTTTATTAGGCCCCAGTCTCATTCCAGACACCAGACCAACTTGGACTGCACCCCACAAAACTTGCCATCCCTACTATTTTCTGTCTAGTCATATTCCTATTCACCATTCTCAACTATTCATAAATGCCCTGCTCTTGTTTACACTGCTGGATTACACTGCTTCTCCAAGCCATAGCTTAGTACCATACCATAGCTGATATCTCCTGGTGCTATCCCCAAACCGCCACTCTTAACTCTTAAAGTAAATAAATAATCTTTGCTGGCAGGATATGCTGAACCTCTTTGGGCACTCTCTAATTGGATGTCCTGGGTCCTCCCAATTCTTAGTCCTTTAATACATATTTTTCTCCTTGTCTTATTCTGTTTAGTTTTTTAATTCATATAAAACCATATCCAGGCCATCACCAATAATTCTAAATGACAAATGTTTCTTCTAACAACCCCACAATATCACCCCTTACCACAAAATCTTCCTTCACCTTAATCTCTCCCACTCTAGGTTCCCACACTGCCCCAATCCCACTCAAAGCAGCCCTGAGAAACATCACCTATTATCTCTCCATACCATCTGCAAAAATTTTCACCACCCCAACACTTTACCACTATTTCATTTTATTTTTCTTATTAATATAAGAAGACAAGAATGTCAGGCCTCTGAGCCCAAGCTAAGCCATCATATCCCCTGTGACTTCCATGTATACATCCAGATGGCCTGAAGTAACTGAAGAATCACAAAAGAAGTGAAAGTGGCCTGTTCCTGCCTTAACTGATGACATTCCACCACAAAAGAAGTGAAAATGGCCGGTCCCTGCCTTAAATGATGACAATACCTTGTGAAATTCCTTCTCCTGGTTCATCCTTGCTCAAAAGCTCCCTGACTGAGCACCTTGTGAACCCCGCCCCTGCCAGCCAGAGAACAACCCCCTTTGACTGTAATTTTCCACTACCCATCCAAATCTTATAAAAAGGCCCCACCCCTATCTCCCTTCGCTGAGTCTCTTTTCGGACTCAGCCTGCCTGCACCCAGGTGATTAAAAAGCTTTATTGCTCACACAAAGCCTGTTTGGTGGTCTGTTCACATGGACACAAGTGAAAGTAAGAAATTCTTACCCTTCTGCTGACTTGTCAGGTCCAGTGTTCCTTTGACTTCAGCTTCCAGAAGAGCAGAGTGGGTTTGGTTATCTTGCTCACAGTGCCAAAAATGAACGGGCCAAGGGAAATCTTCCCTTTTGCCCTTCCCCTTCAAAGTTTTGCTGAAAATTAAAACTGACAAAAGGAAGGAGAAACAGGAGAAAAGGCATAAAAAATTTTTAAATGTGCAGAAGTGTGCGTGGAAGTCATACAAAATATGAAAATTCCAAGAAACGGCCAGATAATAGATCCTTTTATATCATCTTGAGGTTATGGTAAGAATGGGGGCTTAGAGCATGGCAAGACAGGTTATAGGAAAGAGAAAGAAAGAAAGGTATGGCTAGCAAAGTAGGTCTTGTTATGCAGATGTAACCTCACAGGTAGCAGCCCTCAGAAAGAATAGTTGGAAGACTGGCTGAGTGATCTTTCCTAGATCTGGATATTGAGGAGGGCTTCAGAGAAGGCCTGGCAGTTTGTTTTTCTCTACAGGTGCAAATATCTTCCACAAAAAGCAGCTTTTCAGGTTTATTTTTATCTGCAGGCCCTCTAAATAGATATCTCAAACATGTCAATAAAGTATATTATGGGGTTTAATATTTTTGGTTTCCTTTAGTGGTCAAGGGTTATCTGATTTAAATGTGATCAAATAGTCAAGAATCACTGAATGCATGGAGGAAATTAAAACCATAAAATAGAGTTATCAAATAAAACATAAGTCAAATAACACCTGACAAAATAGAGTAATATAGAAAATAGGAAAAAACTTCAGGATACGCATGATTAATTTTTTTTGGAAAAAGTTAGTTACAACAGACTATTATAATCATAAAAAAGGACAAAGTAGAGATTTTGGACATTAAAAGTTTGTTGAAATAAAGAAAAACAGAGGGAAGAGATGTAAAATAAGCACAACTAAAGACCATATCTGTGAGCTGAGAGAATAGCTAACATTTTCCCTAAAATTTCCATTAAAAATTAAAAATAATATAATACATAACATGCTAATACTGCACAATTTAATAAACACACAGAAGAGGGGAGCAAAAATTAGTTCAGATATAAAATAATTAAATATAAACATCAAGAGAAAAAATTAGTTGATTTTAAAAAACAATAAAATAGATAAGCCTCTGAAATAATTTTTTAAAAGAGGAATATAAAAATAAATTACATTAGACTTGAGGTAGAAGCATACATATGAGTTCCAAGCAAAAAAAAAAAAAAAAAAAAAAAAAGATGTGTGAGAAATTCTGTACAACTCTTTGCCAAAGATTAAAAAAATCTAGACAAAATGGATGATTTTTAAAAAAATTAACACTTACTGAAATTAACTCAAGAAGATGTAGAAATTATGAATAGCCCAAAAATCATTAAAGAAATTTCTTTTCTTTTTTTGAGGCAGAGTCTTGCTCTGTTGCCCAGGCTGGAGTGCAGTGGTGCAATCTTGGCTCACTGCAACCTCCACCTCCTGGGCTCAAGCAATTCTCCTGCCTCAGCCTCCCTGGTAGCTGGGATTACAGCTGTGCACCACCACGCCTGGCTATTTTTTGTATTTTTAGTAGAGATTGGGTTTCACCATGTTGGCCAGGCTGGTCTCAAACTCCTGACCTCAAGTGATCCGCCTACCTTGGCCTCCCAAAGTGCTGGGATTACAGGTGTGAGACACCATGCCCGGCCTAGAAATTTCTTTAATGTAGCCAATGATTTACTTCAAAATTGATCTTTAAACTCAATGCAATTCCTCCCTAAATCCCAACAAGGTGTTTCAATGCAACTTGACAAACTGATTTAAAGTCCACATTGGAAGACAAGAATTCTAAGAATAGCCCAGATACTTTTTATGAAGGACAATGAAGAGAATACTGAATTATGAATTATCAAAGCATATTATAGCTATATCAGTCTAACATTTCTGCTTGTTTTATATATATATACATATATACACATATATACTCACATACACACATACTCAACTCTCTCCCTTTATATGTGTGTATATATATGTGTGTATATATATACATATGTGTGTGTGTGTGTGTGTGTACACCTGTAAAGGGAGAAGAAGAAGCAATTCTATGGATATGTATGAAAATTTTGTTTAAGATGGTATTTAATTTTTTTTCTTTTTTTCTTTTTTAATTAGGTATAATTAAGTTCTGGGATAAATGTGCAGAACATGCAGGTTTGTTACATAGGTATACAGGTGCCATGGTGGTTTGCTGCACTCATCAACCCATCATCTACATTAAGTATCCCTCCTAATGTTATCCCTCCCCTTATCCCCCACCCCCCAACAGGCCCCAGTGTGTGATGTTCCCCTCTCTGTGTCCATGTGTTCTCATTGTTCAACTCCCACTTATGAGTGAGAACATGCAGTGTTTGGTTTTTTGTTCCTGTGTTAGTTTGCTGAGGATGATGGTTTCCAGTTTCATCCATGTCCCTGAAAAGGACATGAACTCATCCTTATTTATGGCTGCATGGTATTCCATGGTGTATATGTGCCACATTTTCTTTATGTAGTGTATTATTGATGAGCATTTGGGTTGGTTCCAAGTCTCTGCTATTGTGAATAGTGCTGCAGTAAACATATGTGTGTATGTGTCTTTATAGTAGAATGATTTATAATCCTTTGGGTATATACCCAGTAATGGGACTGCTGGGTCAAATGGTATATCTGGTTCTAGATCCTGGAGGAATCGCCACACTGTCTTCCACAATGGCTGAACTAATTTACACTCCCATCAACAGTGTGAAAGTGTTCCTATTTCTCCACATCCTCTCCAGCATCTGTAATCCCAGCACTTTGGGAGGCCAAGGCAGGTGGATCACTTGAGGTCAGGAGTTCGAGACCAGCCTAGCCAACATGGTGAAACCCCATTTCTACCAAAAATACAAAAAATAAGCTGGGCATGGTGGTGTGCACCTGTAATTTCAGCTACTCAGGAGGCTGAGGCAGAGAATCGCTTAAACCCAGGAGGTGGATGTTGCAGTGAGCCGAGATTGCGCCACTGCACTCCAGCTTGGGCAACAAGAGCGAAACTCTGTCTCAAAATCGGCAATGACGACAACAAAAACATTAAAGTTATTTCAAAAAGAGTAACTATAATGATGTATAATCTATTTACCATTTTTATGTAGCTATTTATAATGTTGGTGAATCCCTTTCCAAGATTGCTTCTAGTGCATATAATTTTCACATTGTCACAATTATATTTCATTCAAGGATTTAACATTTTTACATTATGTAGACTACGGGCTTCATAGCTATCATTTGTAAAATTTGTATGCTATTCTACCATTTTCTAAAATCAGCTAGTCACTGGTTTTTAGGTAAGTTTTAGACCCTGGTCAATGGAACTAGAAAAGGGTTAATGAATTAGCTTCTTTTGAGTTAGCTTTAGCTATTCTAAGTAGAAGTCATATAAATAATCCTTAAAAGCTAGGAGAAAGCTGGTAAATTTCCAAGCAGTCAATTCTAGCAGTGAGAGGGGAGTGAATATGTTTTAAAATAGTTTTTCTCAGAATATATCCTGAGGAATACTAATCTTTCACGATGTTCCAGTTTAAAAATTTTGAAAACAGGCTGGGTGCGGTGGCTCACGCCTAAAATCCCAGCATTTTGGGAGGCCAAGGCGGGAGGATCACGAGGTCAGGAGATAGATACCAACCTGGCTAACACGGTGAAACCCCGTCTCTGCTAAAAATACAAAAAAAAATTAGCTGGGCGTGGTGGTTGGTGCCTGTAGTCCCAGCTACTCGGGAGGCTGAGGCAGGAGAATGGCGTGAACCTAGGAGGTGGAGCTTGCAGTGAGCCAAGATCACGCCACTCCACTCCAGCCTGGGTGGCAGAACGAGACTCTGTCTCAATATATATATTTAAAAAAAAAAATTGAAAACAAAACTTGAAAAAACTTTGGCTACTATATTTTCCTATTAGGAAATCACATTCACAAATTATATTTCAATCTAGGGGAAAAATCATACCTATTTAGCATGGTTTTAAAAGAGATTTGCTTCATATATTTAAAACTTGCATTTGTTTTATATTGCTGTATAACAAATTATCTGAAAATTTAGCAACTTAAAATCATAAAAAATTATAATCTCACTTTTTTTGGGATAAGGAATTTGGGAGCCTTTTATCTGGGTGTTTGTGGGTCAGAATCTCTTATGGCTTTGCAACTAAGACAATGGCTGAGGCTGTAGTCACCTAAAAGCTTAACTGGTCCTATAGGGTCTGCTACCAGGATGGCGCACACACTTGTTGGCTGCAGGTCTTAGTTCCTCACCATGTGGACCTCTGCTTAGTGTTACTCAAGTATTCTCATGACACAGTAGTTGTCTCTCCCTAGAGCAAGCAATCCAAGAGAGAGAACAAGAAGGAAACCACAATGTCCCTCTTCCTTAATTTTCCCAATGCCTTCTAAGACAGTGTTTTTAAAAGCTAAACATTGTTCAAAACAAGTAGCTACAACCCTTATTCAAGAGGAGGGGACTTAGGTCTCACACGTTGAGAAGTACCAAATAATTTGTGAACACATTTTAAATCCACTACTATAGTCACGGAATCCACTCTTATAACTTAATAATACCTATTAACATGCTAAGGACCATTCTGGAAATACTTGGTTGTTGGGATTTAATACTGAAGAAGGCCCCTATGATATCTTTCTGATGGAGAAAATGGCAGGAATTGGCTGGCTATGTATTCATATCTAGATGGAAACTGCGTTTTGCATCTCTTTGGTAAAAATATTTTATAAATAATGCATAAGTGGGTTACTTATGACACTTTTTCAAAGACAGTGTAGTTAAATACAACTCAAAACAATCAATGACATGTAAACCCTGTATAAAATCAAGCAATTGGGACAGGACATTTGTTAGATATCTTGCACTTCTCTAATATTCACTAATTCTTTCATATAGTCATTTACCAATCTGTTCTTGAGAGCTTTACATTCACCTGGGCTATTGCATATACTGGTATACAAAGCCTAGTGAAAAAAGTACCCAATCACCTTATGAAAAGCATCATAGTTTTATAGAAAGAGACACATATGGAGCCATTTGCAAAGAAAAGGCTAAAGTAAATACTCTTACAGAGGTAAGACTAAGAGTTTGTGAGCAAAAGGATAGGATAAGTAAGTATGCCTGGAGAATATCTACAATGAAACCTTAAATTTAAGTTTTATCTCCTCTACTACTTCTGTTGTAACTTGTAAATCTTAGCATTTTAAGCTTTCATTAGAAGTAGCAATCTAATGTGTGAGTCGTTTATGTACATGGTGGAATTCATCTAGTTAGTGAGTCCTATATACAATCATTTGATTCTTTGTTCAAAATTTCAGCTTTTATTTTAGATACAGGGAGTACTTTCTTAGTGAGTCCTATATACACTCATTTGATTCTTTGTTCAAAATTTCAACTTTTATTTTGAACTTTCGTTACATGGGTATATTGCACCCAGCTACTGAGCATAGTACCCATTAGGTAGTTTTTCAACTCACCTTCCTCTCTATTCCTCCCTCTCTAGTAGTCTGCCATACCCAGTGTTTCCATGTTTATGTCCACGTGAGCTTAGTGTTTAGCTCCCAATTATAAGTGAGAACATGCAGTATTCTAGAAAGCATTATTCAGGAACAATTTAGCACATCAACCATATAGGAGAGAGCTAATAGAATCAGGTCATATCAAGTATGTGCTTGTATACATGTGCATATATAAATTATATACTTGAACATATATAACTTCTGTCTTGTCATGGCCATATGCAAAAAGTAAAGTACTAGAAAAAATCTTTAAAATATCCTGAAAATTTCCTATGTAATTTTTTTTCAAAGTTTGCTACAGTGAAAGCATATATGTTCAGTATCTCTACAAACTCTCTCATTTGTTCTCCTTTATGAGGCTAATGAGGACACTTTTTCTAGATCCTCAGAATTGCATATTATTTGTCACTTTTTAGCACTGAACATGGAAAGCTCAGATAACAGGTCTTTTTATAAAACTGTGGTTGAAAGAAGATCATAAAGTCTAAGATTTATGGCAATCTTTTTGGAAGGGAAAGTGGTTTGTTAGAATAAATATAGACCTTATGGTCATTTCCCAACCAGCTCAATATTGCTATCTATGTGGCACTGTTATTTAAACTCCTCATGTCACAGTTTTCTTAACTTTAAAATGGTTATAGTCATGTCTACTCTCAGTGTTGTTGCAGAAGGGCAAATAAGACAATGCTTCTAAATGCTTACCATAGTGCCAGGCACAAAAGAGTTAATAAATGACAGTGGCATTATCTATTATTTATTGAGCAACTATTTTGTCCCAGACACTGTGCCAAGCACTTTACATATATTATTTCAAAAATTCTATTAATTTATGGACAAGAATATTGAGAAAAGTTTAGAAACTTGCCCAAGTCATCAACCAATAGTAAAGCATTTTTATGGACCTAAATATTACAGCTGCACACCACCACACCTCTTCTCCATAGGCAAAGTAGTCTAAAACTGTTCAAAATGCAGCCTTTTTTTTTTTTTTTTTTTTTTTTTTTTTTTGAGACGGAGTCTTGCTCTGTCGCCCAGGCTGGAGTGCAGTGGCGCGATCTCGGCTGACGGCAAGCTCCGCCTCCTGGGTTCACGCCATTTTCCTGCCTCAGCCTCCCGAGTAGCTGGGACTACAGGTGCCCGCCACAACTCCCGGCTAATTTTTTGTATTTTTAGTAGAGACGGGGTTTCACCATATTAGCCATGATGGTCTCCATCTCCTGACCTTGTGATCCTCCCGCCTTGGCCTCCCAAAGTGCTGGGATTACAGGCGTGAGCCACTGCACCCAGCCAAAATGTAGCTTTTTACGTATTTGTTTATTGTTTCTTTTTACTGTTTCCTCCTATAGAATACAAGGGTCAGGAGACCAAGAACCTTGTGTGGCATATTTCCTGCGATAACTTCTGCTCCTAAAATGGTACCTGGCACTTACTAGTTGCTCAGTAAATATTTCCTGGATGCTTAAGTGAATGAATGTCTACGTGTAATACATAATTTAACAATCATTTTTTGTCAAATCTTGATAATATCATAGAATGCTTGAGGCCTTAGGAATCAACCTAGTCTGTTACCCTTATTTTGCACATGTCACCAGCAGCCCCGACAGATGACATTTGTTGTGTAAAATCACATCCTAATTATTATAGGATGAGAAATTAGGTCTCATATCTGTCCAGCTAAGGCATTTCTGCATCCACATTTCTTTTTTTCTTACACCCACTCCCTACTATTTTCTTTCTGCAGTCATTACAATCTTGCTTTATTTGGCTATAAGAAACTCTCAGTGATTTTTTAGTGTATGTAACTTTAAATGAAGACATTTCTTGATTCAGGGTATTAATTCTACTGAATAATGCAAATTTGTGTCTCAAAGAATTAGAGGAAAGCTGTTACTGTTCATACTAACCAATTGTAAATGGGAGATGTTTGGCATTCTACAGCAATCTTAGTATAAATTCTTCCCTTGAACCTACAAATAAATAAACAACCAACAGCAACATTGGGACATTTTTACTCAAGTAGTTTACCAGATGATATTTTCTGACCGTCTCTCTGTTTCCTAGATTAACTGGCCTACTGCATGACTAAATCATCCTCCAGACCAAAAATAATAAAGACAATTTATAGTTCAATTTATTTTGATTCAAGTCAAAAGTATTTTAACCCAGAAATGGTGCTTGACACTTTAAAGCACATTATTTTATTCGCTTCTTTAACAGCACCAGTAGCTTCATTTTGAACTTGAGAGAATGAGGTTCCCAAATAGTGAGAACCTCACTACTTACAGTCACATATTAAGTAATAAAGTCAGGATTTGAAGCTAGTTTGCTGAGGTTGTCTATTAAACATGTTGTGGTCTTACTCTCCTTCCTGCAATCTCCCAAGGTTATGGTTATGATGGGTGGGAATCAGAGAGGTATCATGTGCATTCTGGTAGTAACATAAATAGTCATGCTGACTCAGCTATCAGTTCACCTGCCATGATGATTATCAGAATGGATCTACAATCTGCTAATATTTTAAAAAAGAATCCTTTGCTAGGGATAATAATACTTCCAAAGATTTCCTAGTGTGACAACCTCAATTCACTACAAAATAATATAATTTTATCTTTATTTCCTCTGATTAAATTTAATTGTTTTGTCTGTATAACAGTAGTTTCATCTGTTCAGTGATTTTCTATTCAATCTTTTAGGGTGGGACTTAAATTATCTTGACCATTAATGACATTCTGGTCTACATCCAGATAAAAGGAATGGTGAAATGGAGTTCAGTTAGTCCACTGACATTTTTATTCTAGATAGAGGCATCATCATGAACAACAGATTCTTTTACTTTTTTCACAGAGTGTGGGGAAGTTTTTGCTGTATTTTATTTAAAAATTGTGAACTGGGGATTTTTCATCCATATTAAGAGCGCAGGTTCTGAATGCGGTATGACCTTGGTTTGGCTCTTGGCCCTGCAACGTAAGAGCTCTATGACTTAAGCAAGTGAACCTCAAGGAACTGCAGTTTTTTGATCTTCAAATAGGAATAAAAATCATCATAATATATTTCACATGTTCAATATCAAGATTAAATGAGTTACTATAGGCTGGGCATGGTGGCTCATGCCTGTAATCCCAGCACGTTGGGAGACTGAGGTGGGTGGATCATCTGAGGTCAGGAGTTTGAGACCAGCCTGGCCAACAGGTTGAAACCCCTTTCTACTAAAAATACAAAAATTAGCCGGGTGTGGTGGTGCATGACTGTAATCCCAGCTACTCGGGAGGCTGAGGCAGGAGAATCACCTGAATCCAGGAGGCAGATGTTGCAGTGAGCCGAGATCACACCACTGCACTCCAGCCTGGGTGACAGAGCAAGACTCCATCTCCAAAAAAAAAAAAAAAAAAGAAAGAAAAAAGAAAAAAAACAAGAAGAAGAAATGAGTTACTAGTTACTACAGATAATGCTCTTAAAATAGTGCCTGGCTGTTTGTAAGCATTAAATAAATATTATTATTTGGTTCAAGTCTACTTAGCAAAGTGCTGAACCTTTTCTGTTCTTTGCTCACTTTATTTGAGATGTTGTGAGTGGATATAGTTCAAAATTTAACAATACAAAAAATCAGAACTAAAAATAAATGAAGAAACAAGTAGTAGTGTTATTTCTTTTTTATACTCTGCCCACTCTCATCCCTAAAATCAGCTAACCTCTTCTTTTTCCTTGGAAATACCTGAATTCCTTGATGTTATTGATGAATGGTACAGATTGCATATCCCTAATTTGAAAATGTAAAATCCAAAGTGTTCCGAATTTGAAACATTTTGAGTGCCAACATGACGTTCAAAAGACATGCTCATTGAAACATTTTGGATTTTGAATTTTCAGATTAGGGATGCTCAAGTGGTAAGTATATATATTGCAAATATTCAAAAATCTGAAAAATAAATTGACATCCAAAACACTTCTAGGCCAAGCATTTTGGATAAGCAATACTCAACCTACATCCTACATGCATTACCTACCAGAGGAAAAATTAGAGATATGGCCCAAGTCTAGCTTAGGCATTTGTAGTATCATTTGGATAAATTCAAAGTTGACCAATCCATAAAAGTCTATGAAAAGGACATTAGGGCTGTTCCAAGTATATTATAAATGATACCAGTCATTTTTTCTTCAGAATGTCACTATTTCTGTTAAAAGACAGAATCCTGAGTTAGACAGATTATAGTTCTGTATCAAAATGGCATTTCCTTTCTGAAAGGAACTAACTATAGACAAACGTTTATGTTCCTGTGTCTCCTGAACTAGCAGCATCATTGAATGGGCTAAGTGAGAATGAGAGTTTAGGTGTAAAATGTTGGTGACTCAAAAGTGTAACCAAACTTCCTATTTCTTTTAAAATACACTATTAGCCTCCCCTATCTGAAGGCTTTCTGGAAGACTAGGGCATATAATTACACTGTAATGTTAGTGCAATAGTTATTCTTGTCCTCAATGACTATATGTGTGGAGTTGAGGGTAAAATAATTGGGCAGTGGTTAGCTGGAAAAATGAAATGGGATGACCCTATGCTAAGATGCTAAGAATGTTATAACAAAATTTTACTTTTACAATGAAAGAATATACATATATATATATATATATATATATATATAATGCTATTGCTTTCTAAACCATTAATAACATAAATTTTTTTAAATAATATTTGTAGATGATCAAGTGATTTAATTAATTTGATTGATTGATTAGGGTAGATTCTTGGCATCTGCAAAGGTCAAATATGAATGATAAACTTACATATATTGCACATGTAGTGTTGCCTGTTACTTTATTTCTTTTTGCTTGACCCCAACAACCCTTTTGAGAGGTGTATTAATGAGAAGACTAAGACTCAAAGGGGTCAAGTGGCTTGCAAAGTCCATTTAGCTGGTTAATACAAAGCATGTAATAGACCCAGCTCCCCGATTCTCCAGTTCAGCATTCCTCCCTGACTTCCCAGTCTAAGTGGAGAAAATTTGAAAATATTCAAGAAAATCCTCATTTGGAATATTATATTTGAACTTGCTAAAACTATCAGTTAAGATGACTACTTTAATTCTCAGGGACAACTTATTTTATTGAGTACTTTTTTTTTCTGTATTCTTTTTTCTGTATGTGGAACATTGGAATGAGATCACAAATAAAACTAAGTTCCAGTTGAGGCTACTTTCAGAACAAGAGAAATGAGGATGTAGATGCAGATGCAAAGCAATTAAGTATTTTCACCACACGTAATTGGACTATTGGGATTTAAAAATATAACTGATCTACTTTGATATATGTAATTGTTGGTTTTTACCTTAAATTTAGAAGCATTAAACTAGTTCCATATCACATTTTAAACTGTTCTGTCGCTATAGGTCTCTACACCTAGAATTTAAAGACTGATTCATAAAAAATCCTTTCATTTTAGACTTCTAAATGATCAGAATGGCTATCTGCATGCACTCTGGGTAACAATTTTGAAGGATAACTATGCTTTGATCTAGATTATCAGTCTCATTGTCCTAGTTATCTATCATCTTATTTTGATTATCTTCTTTCTAAAGTACTATCTATTATTAAAATAATGACATGATTATTTTGTTGCAGCAGTGCTTTATAACATTTATAACATTCTAATATCTTGTAAACCAGATTTATTTTGACATGTTAGGCAGTGAGGGTATGTGATTAGAATTAAATGTTAAAATACAAATTAAGAAGAATGTTAATTTATTTTATTCTGAAAGCTTATTAACTGAAAAAGACTGATTTTTTTTATCTATTTTGAGTATCTAATGTCAGCAATAGCATGTTCATAGCATACCTCATTAACTAAAGTAATTTAACAAAGAATTGTGTCCAAATGAATGCTAATAGCTTATAGAAGCACAAATAAAATTGAATTTATGTGAAGTATTTGCCTATGTCGAGGCACTAGGTAATTAATTTCTACACATTCCCTAGAAATAATTAGAGAATTTCATCAAGTTTTACTTAACCTTTGGATTTTCAAGAATACTACATAACATAAAAATTTTTTTAAAGCAATAAATCCTTTTTTCCCTAAATTGCTATTTTTCCAAGAAAATTTGCACTATTTTAGAATAATTTGCCATTTATTTCTTTAGCCTATCTTTGCATTGTTTTCCACATTGATACAAATTTTTAAAATATTGAAGGAATTTGAACCTAAATAGAAAGTCAAAATAATAAGCAATGTTTTTGTTGTTGTTGTTGTTGTTGTTTTCTAGCAATGATAACACTTTTGAAGGCAAATCAGTCTGAATGCCTGAATCAATTAATCAACAAATAGAGACTCTACCTTTTGTGGGGCACTATTTTGAGTCCAATTCTGTACCAAGCACTGTGTCTTTGGGAAATGACTGTCTTTTCATGATGATCTAGTTACCTAGAAGTTCCAGAATTCAGTCTACCACTATACATGGAACATTCTTTAGGCCGCATGCATGACATGACCAATTTTAGATTGATTATAAAGGATGGTTTTTAAAGACATTTTTAACATATTTTAACTTTCACATTACATTTTCCTGTTAGACAATTACTAGCCTTTACTTATTTATGTATTTGTCTATTTATTTTAACTTTTATTTTAAGTTCAGGGGTACAAGTGTAGGTTTGTTATCTAAGTATAATTGTGTCATGGGGGTTCGTTGTACAGATTATTTCATTTATCTCCCAGGTATTACACCTTGTACCCATTAGTTATTTTTCTTGTTCCTCTCCCTCTTCACACCCATCACACTCTGATAGGCCCCGTTGTGCATTGTTCCTTTCCGTCTGTACATGTGTTCTCATCATTTAGCTCCCACTTCTAAGTGAGAACATGCAGTATCTGGTTTTCTGTTACTGTGATAGTTTGCTAAGAATAATGGCCTCCAGCTCCATCCATGTGCCTGCAAAGGAAGCTAATTAGCCTTTCAGTTGGAGCTCTTTTACAGGGCATCTGCTGATATCTATAGATCCGATCTTAATTGTTTTCCCATGTATAGCTCTTTCTCAAATGCGTTATTTATTTATATTTATCATTTCTTGGGTTATTTTCTTATTAGAATGTAAGTGCTATGAGGGCAGAGTTTTCTGTCTATTTTGAGTTATGGTATATTCCTCAGCAGCACATTGAACAAAACATTTTCCCTGTCTTTGTGGAACTAGGCCATTTTAAAAAATAATATTGAAGAGTAAGTGAGCTAAGTTTGGTGAAATTGAATATAAAAAAAGTTTAATTAAAAATTTTTTTTCAATAGCTTTTGGGATACAAGTGGTTTTTGTTATATGGATGAATTATATAGTGGCGAATTCTGAGATTTTAGTACACCCATCACCCAAGTAGTGTACATCGTGTAGTTTTTTATCCCTAGCTCCCTCCCCACCCTCCCCCTTCTGAGTCTCTAAAGTCCATTGTATCACTCTGTATGCCTCCGTGTACTCATAGCTTAGCTTCCACTTATAGGTGAGAACATACAGTTTTTGATTTTCCATTCCTATGTTATTTCACTTAGAATAATGGCCTCTAGCTCCATCCAAGTTACTGGAAAATACATTATTTTTGTTTGTTTGTTTGTTTGTTTGTTTGTTTTTTGAGATGAAGTTTCACTCTTGTTGCCCAGGCTGGAGTGCAATGGTGCAACCTCAGCTCACTGCAACCTCTGCCTCCCGGATTCTAGTGATTCTCCTGCCTCAACCTCCCAAGTAGGTGGGATTATAGGCATGTGCCACCACGCCTGGCTAATTTTGTATTTTCAGTAGAGAAGGGGTTTCTCCATGTTTGTCAGACTGGTCTCGAACTCCTGACCTCAGGTGATCCACCTGCCTCGGCCTCCCAAAGTGCTGGGATTACAGGCATGAGTCACTGCGTCTGGCCTATTTTTTTTTAATGGCTGAGTAGTATTCCATGATGTGTATATACCACGCTTTCTTCATCCACTCAGTTGATCGGTACTTAGATTGTTCTCACATATTTGCAATTGTGAATTGTGCTTCTATAAACATATATATGCAAGTATCTTTTTCATATAATGAGAAAATGTCTAAATTTTAATCAAAGTCTGTTATTATGCATTAAGACCTTCAGTCTGTAATCTTTCATTTCGATTACTTGTGTAAGGGTTGTTGTGAGGATAAAAATATAGTTATGGATCACTTAGAAAAATGCTTACCACATAATAATTTTTCCATTGCTGTTGGCTATTTCCCCTCAAAACTCCACGTGTAGTTTTTATTTGCCTAAATCAGTTTTAATTAAAAATTCTATTTTAAAAATATGCAATATAAAATGAATCAAAAAATAAAACTATAAGCATTCAGAAGTTTAAATCCACTTTCTTAATTCCTTTTCACTGACTTTGGTAATCATTAAAAAAAAAATTCTTAATCTACCAGTGACCTTTAAGCAAATAGACTTAAGGAGCCTATTTCATTAGTAGTATTATTGATTCTTTTAATTGAGATTTTACATATTTATATATTATGTACTTAAAACAGTATCTATTCTTTCCAAAGTTCCTTTGCTGAGCCAGAGAGTATACAGTTAGTAATTACAGTGTTTTATTGAAGAGTCAGCATGGCTTCTGGATCCAGACTAACTTGAATTAAAGTTCTATCTCTGCAGCTTACAAGATGTATTGTTCTGTGAAGTTACTCAATGTTGCTAAGTTAAATTTCACCATTGCAAAAGGGAAACAATAACATTTACAGAGAGTAAGTGAAATGTGGTAGCCATGGAGTTGTGACCCTTAGATCTTCCTTCAGGAGAAACTGCTGCAAAGAGAGCAGTTGGGAAGAGCCTCCATCTGCTGCTTCTTCCCACTCAGCATTCACCTAGAGGCTACTATTACTCTAGGCTACTCCCAGCTGATAGCTGAAATCAGAAGGGACTTATAGCTGGGCTACTCCTGCCCAATGCAGGAGTTTGCTGATTGGCAATCTTTGCTTTGGGATCTCCACAGTGAAAGCTAAAATTATTATTTAAAGCTCCTGCTACCCATTCTTCCTTCCTTGCCTCACTCCATTTATATATGTTAGATCTGCATTGCAATCTGAAGTCTCCTTCTCTATTCCTACCCCTCTCTTTTATCCCTAATATGTATCTCCAATAATTCTCTTGCACTTCTGCCTCTCCCTTGGAATCTGCTTCTCATAGGACTCAAAGTGACCCCATTAATATAGAAGCAGTTCGAGAAAGGATGCAATATGATGGGGCTGGGGACTACATTGCTTACTGCCCAGCTGGCATGAAGGACACCGGCCTGAGTAGAATGTAGGGTACAGAAAATCCGTGGCAGAAGATGGAGGCCTAATTGCTGAAAAGGCATCCACTGATAACCTAGAAAACCATCCCGGTGGAGGGGAATCCCCTTGCCAGTACAATAATCCAGTCATTTGAAATATATAAGGAAGAACAATGCCTACACAGATGGTGGAGTCATACATTTATTACTAACTTGTATTGACTCCTGTAAAGGGAAAATTAGAAATGAAAACTAATTGTGGGTAGCAAGTAGTTAATAGATAGACATGAAACCAGAGGACTTTTTGGTAGCTTAGAAAGAGCCCCTTATCTCATTCAGTGAAAGAGCTGACACAGCTGAGTAGCAGGCTAAAGGTCCCACAGTTAATAGCTCTCAATTAAGAGCTCCGGAGACATTTAAATACACAGCCAAATGAGGTCTGTTCCAATAAGGGAAAATCTGGCCCACTGAAACATTGGATGGGACATCTGGGTGGATGGTCTGAAATATTTTTATACTTGTGGTGAACACACTCTAAAGTAACCCCCAATGATCCACGTTCTTGTATAATTCCTTCTCTTTTAGTGTGGGTAGGACCTCTGACTTGCTTCTAATCATAACAGAACATGGCAAAAGTGGTAAGATGTTACTCCTGTGGGTATGTTTCATTTATATAAGACTCACATTTTAACAGATTGGAAAGAGAGCTTCTCTTGCTAGCCTTGAAGAAGCAAATAGCCATCAATGAACTGACCACAGAGGGGATCCCATGAGAAGGTATTTAGGTATTCTTTAGCACCTGAAAAAAGCTTCACCATAGAGATAGTAAGAAGCTTCGACCTCAGTTATACAGCCAGAAGTATATAATTCATCACAGCCTGAATGAGCTTGGAAGTAGATGTTTTTCCCCAGCAACGTTTTAATTGTAGCCTTGTGAGAACCTGGGCAGAGGATCTAGCTAAACTCTACACTTTTGACCTACAGGAACTTTAAGATAATAAATGTGCATTAAGTTGCTAAGCTTATTGTAATTTATTACACAGAAATAAAAACTAATGTAGCATGGTAAATTCCTTTAAACCTTAACTGCTTGCAAAGGTGTTCACATCTCTCTATTAAGGGATTTCCCTATGTGTGAGGACACTATGAAGTTCTCTCCTCTGTAAGGCAACAGACACCCCTTCAGGAGTTGCCTCATCTCCCCTTTTTGGCTATTGGGTCAATAACCAGCATTAAATCTCAGCATAACCTGGCTAGAAACATGCTGAACCTGACAGTGGAGGAAAGAGATTATATCCAAAGGAACTGCAAAAATTCATTAACATGTACCAGATAGATTCAAGAGAGTGCCGATAAGATGGATTTTATGATTGCTTGATCAAGTAAGCCAGAATGTAAGTCTGAATATGCAAAGATGTCTTCATTGACTGGGGTGTCTTTTATTGGAACAAAAGATTTAACACTACAGCAAAGACCATAGGGGATAATGCAAACTCAGCGTTAGAGGGGCAGTTAGAAGCCTGGGGAAAGTGATGGCCCATTCTAAACAAAGTGGAAATGCCTGAGTTTCCCCGGCAGGAAGTGAACATGCTTGAATGGCTGTAAGACCCGAAAACCAAACAGAGGATTGTATTGCATGGAAGAGCCCAGAATACACACCATTCATTGAGGTCAAGAATGAGAATATGATAGGGGCATCTGCATCACCAAGAACGTCAGTGGTAGCTCTCCTCTGCAAGCCAGGGCTGATGGTCAGATAAGTGTTCACAGAACTGGCTTTGTTAATGGCAAAGGGAATAATGGGACCTAAAGAAAGAGAGCCAATTTGGAGGTGTTTGATTGCCTGAAGCTGGGAGATCACAGTTACTATAATGATTGGCAGGATAGGAAGGGCAGCCATGAGGACTTGACTTGCAAGAAATTATGGGGATGCTTATGGCATCTCTAGGATAAAATTAGATGGACAGTCAATGAGGGGGCTGTTTTACATTTACAAACAGAAGAAGGCAAACATGAAAGAACATGAGTCTAAAGGCAGTTGCCCTTATTAAAAGTCATGATCCCTTGCTCAGTTCCTGAATCCGAACATATTTTCTGGTATAATGCCTATTGAATAAGAGATATGGGTTCCAGGAGGAAGGATGCTGTAACAATGCAGCAAGAACAGACTGTAAAGGTTCCTCCAGTTCTGTGGCAAATCCTACAGTGTTGGAAATGTCAGTGGTGGGTAAGTATGCAGTATGGTATTTATAAGCCTTAGTGGGAACATTATAACACAGGTCTCTGGAGTTCTGGAGCCATCTGTGGCAGAATAATATATGCCTTCTGAGAAACAGCTCCTGCTGTGTTGCTGAGCCCTGATAGAGACATACTGTTGTCCATGGAGTAATAGGCAGCCTTCCACTCAGTATTACTTATTAGAAACTGGATTCTGTTGGACCCAGAAATCATAAAGTTGAATGGGTCCATTAGCATTCCATTTATTTTAAGATGGAAATAATACATCATTGATTAAGCCTGAGCAGAATAAGAGGGCAGGAGTATGAAACATAAGCAGGTAGCCCTTTTAGGGTTCATGTTACCCACCACAATTGCTTCAGTGCCTGTGCTCCAGCTTGCACACATGGCCTGATAGAGTTTGTCCCCTATGACCGACTGAAGAAGGGAAAATAGCCTGTCTAGCTTATGAATAGGTCAGTTTGATATGTGGGAGTGAACTGAAAATTGGTAGTGGTTGCATTACAGTCACATTCAGGGATGGCTTTAAAACACAGTGGAGAGAGAAACTTTTCCTAATGGGTAGAGCTGCAAGTTAGTCACCTGGTTATCTACTTTGTAGGAGAGGAAGAGTGTCATGAGGTGAAAACATATACAAATTCTTGGCTAGAAGCCAATGGCCTAACACTGGAAAAGAAAAAGTTTAGAACATTAAAGACAAGGAGGTCTGGGGTAGAAGTAGCAGAAAGACATATGGGAGAGGATACAAAGTTTGAAGAATTTTGTATCATATGTCAATGCCAAGAAATTTCCTACTACAGCAGAAGTCCTGAATAACCAAGCAGACAAAACGATTTGTCCAGTGACTTCAGAAAGCCTTTTTCATTGACCCTCCAGAGATGGCATGATGGGCAGATGAACAGCCTAGCCACAGTGGCCTAGATGTGGCTATACACTGGCTCTGTGGCCACTTAACCAAGGCTTATCCAGCTATTGGCACCTCTGAATGGTCAACCTTCCAACAACAAACACCAAGTGGACACTTGTTGACAATTCAAGTACATTGGTGTTGTTCCTTTCTAGAAGAACCAGGAGATCACCCTCACAGGGATAGAAATACTTTTATTACGAGTAGGGGTAATACTTATGGCTTTGAGTTTTCTTTCCACAGACTTAAGTCCGCACCATTTGCCTACTAAAATGTTGATCCACAGACATGGAATCTGTAACATAACATCCAACAAGAGGAACTACTTCATTACAAGTATGGTACAAAATTGGGCTACTGATTGAATCACATACCACAACACCCAGAGGCAGCTGGTGTCCCATAATGCTGGAAGGCACTTCTATGGCACCGCTGGAGTGACACCTTGATGGCAATGCTGGACAAGGGTGGGTTGGTATACTTTGGGACACGATATATACGCTAAGTCAGAGGTCTAAATAGGAAGGCTATATGGACCCAAGAACCAAGGGCTGGAGAAAAAATGGCACCCTAACCATCTGCCATTAGTTCTAATGACCCACTTGGAGGTCCTAGTCTGCAAAAGGGGCAAACTCTTGCCAAGGAAAACAGCAGAGATTCTGTTAAACTACAAGATAGAGCTGCTCCTGGGAGTGTTAAACTTTGTATCCAGAAGACAGCAGGAGAGAAGTCATCATCCTGGCAGGAGAAATTGAACCTGATCTCCCAAATGAGGTGTTTGCTTTTACCGTAAGGGGAGAGAGGTATGCGTGTGGAATCCAGGTGATCTACTTTGATGCCTTGTGGGATTCTCTTGTTCAATTTTAATGGTTAATTGACATGTGCAGCACTCCTAGTTTGAGAAAAGTATGATTACCTCAGGCTGACCTATCAGGAATGAGTATCCAGGTCATGTCACCAGGTAAACGAGCAGGACCTCTGGGACTAACTACAGAGATGGGGTTGTAATTTGTCTTCCTAACTTTCCTCTTTTAGAATTTCTCTCAGGGAGAGTGGCCCACAGGAATGAGGGAATACTTCCTGAAAATGTGTGCAGAGACTCTGAGGCATTCGAGATGGACTGTGGTGGCCATGGAAGTGTACCACGCAGATATCTCCTTCAAGAGAATCTGATGCAAGAATAGTTGGCAAATAGCTTCTAGTTGCTACATTTTTGGATGCATCACAGTGTTCATGTAAAGTTCATGCTCTTCCTGGGCTGTCCCTAGCCCAGGAATAGCCTGAGGACAGCAGAGCGACTAGGGCCAGGCAATTCCTGCCTGACACAGCACTAAGCTGAGAGCCCATCTTTGCTTTCGGATTGTACTGTTCACCCTACCCAAGCTCTCCTCTTTTCTTCTCTGTTTTCACAGATGTCAGACTTGCATCAGAAACTGGAGGCTTTTCCTGCTCCTGCTCCTCTTTTTTATTCTCTGCAGTTATTTCTCCCAGTAATCACTTACACATCTAATTCCGTCTTGGAATCTGCTTTTCACAGGATTCAAACGGGCACATCAGATAAGCCTATGAAAGTTCTCATTGTGATTAAAACTAAGCACTCTAATATGTGATAGAAATGGTTTATTTCTTAAACAACTTTCTAATAACTCCTAACCATGGAATTGTGAATAATTTGCATGCATATACATTTTGATTATGTGAGCAAATGGATATAATATTGCATTTATTAATTTGAAATAACAGACATGTTCATCTATATTTGCCACATGTCCATAATCTATTAATGAAGTATAGAGAAGCAAAATTCCAATATAGTGTATTATAATTTGTCATACAGTATATTCCTCTTCTACTTATAGACATACTTTAAAGGAAGTCATATTCCTTCTGGAATCCAGCTCTGATCATTCAAAGGTTGAACAATAAATAGCCTAAATAGCAATATATATTTTATATAGTTTTTAATTGTGCGACTGTTGCAGAAAAAGATAAAAAACCATATTTTTAATTTGCATAAAATCCTCTTCAGAGGTAGATACATGTGAGTATTGTTGCAGGTACAGAGGGTAGGCTGGTTGGTCTTCTGTTGTTTCTTAGCTGAAAACTGCAGTATTCTGTGACATTGAATTAAAATGAGAACATGCCAAATAGGGTAATTACAGCTAAGTTTCCACTGGTATGCAATGCAGAAAATACAGTGAGCATTAATATTTTTGACCTCATTACTTTTGCATTTGTCTAACAAGAAAGAAGTATTTAAGTCACTGCTATGTTAACTTTGGACTTATGTATTTTTTGAAATCACTCTTTTTTTAGAGATTTATCTGCTCATAAAAGATATATATTCTAGACATTTGGTTAAGAAAGGAGATGCAAAAAGAGTTATTTCTATTCAAGATGAAGTTAGTGTCAGGCTAAAAGTTGATTTATTTAGAAAAATATGCTGTCTATGTTCGGGTGGCTTTTCCTATGCATACTGTCTTGTCAAGGACTCTGCCCTCAACTGCAGCACTTGCTGAGTAGCTATGAAAAATGAATTATATATCATGTGACCTTTTACTTTGTGGCTGAAGCCACATCTCTAGTCTTCATTTCTCTCTCTCTTCAGTTTTTTTTTTGGAGTTTCATCTGCCTGCTGGAGTTTCCACCTGAAAGAGCTAAGAGTTACCTCAAATTCATTCTGTTGTGTAGTAAAGAATTTGGCTGGGGCCGGGCGCGGTGGCTCACGCCTGTAATCCCAGCACTTTGGGAGGCCGAGGCGGGAGGATCACGAGGTCAGGAGATCGAGACCATCCTGGCTAACACGGTGAAACCCCGTCTCTACTAAAAATACAAAAAATTAGCCGGGCGTGGTAGCGGGCGCCTGTAGTCCCAGCTACTCGGGAGGCTGAGGCAGGAGAATGGCGTGAACCTGGGAGGCGGAGCTTGCAGTGAGCCGAGATCGCGCCACTGCACTCCAGCCTGGGCGACAGAGCGAGACTCCGTCTCAAAAAAAAAAAAAAAAAAAAAAAAAAAAAAGAATTTGGCTGGTTTTTGTCTTTGGTCCTTGGGTGGAAGCCTCCAAACCCTTGGATTTCCCACGTGATAGGAGTGTTTGTTATTTATGGTTTATTAGCATAAACACCTGAGTTTATGCTAATGAGATGATTCATGGAGAACCTCTAGATAGTTTATGCTGATTAGATGAGTACAGATTGGGGCTGGCCATGCCAGAAAGTCCTATCATGTGATTACAGGGTTGGGGCTTTGAGCCATGTGATCTTGGCCTGACTTCTGGCTTAGAAGAAGAAGGAGGCTGAATTTTGAGTTCAACTTTATGGCCAATGAATCAATCAGTCATGCCTATATAATGAAGCCCCAATAAAAACTCAATACAATGAAGCTCAGTTCAGTTTTCTGGTTGGTGATACACATTGATGTGCCAAGTGGTTGATGCATTCTGGGGACATGGATGATTCATGTTTGGAAGCCTCTCAGATCTTGCCCTATGCATTTCTTTATTTGGTTGGTCTTGATTTTCATCTCTTCTAACAAAACCGTAATTCTGAATTTTCTGAAGTATTAATATAATTTCTTGAACTCTGTAAGTTGTTCTAGTGAATTTTCAAACCTGAGGGGTTAGTGAGAACCTCAAAAAACATAGCCGGTTGGTCCCAAGTATGGGTGGCCTGGGAACTCTAGACCTTGTGACTGGAGTCTCAAGTGAGGGTAGTCTTGTGGGGTCTGTGCCCTTAACCTGTGTAATTTGACCTAACTTGGTTTGTTAGTATCTGAACTGCATTGCATATTCTTTAGATCCTGAAGCATAATCCTTTCCCAGAGCCAACAAGCTTACCTGCTGAACTTTGTTTCTCTTCCCACATTGTCAGCCATGCAGTCTAATTTCTTCCCATAAACCTCTTATGTGCTTTGGCTTCAGTTCATGTCCACTGGTACATGTGTAGCCTTTTTTTTTTTTTTTTTTTTTTTTTTTTTTTCAACCTGGGCTGTTTCAATACTACTTAAACTGGCTTATCTTCACGGTAATCTATTCTGTATTTCCCAGTGAAGTTCATCTTCCTCACACTCTCTTCAAACTCAAATATCTTTTTCAGAGATGTCTAGCTAGTACCCACTGCAACATCTCTCAAGTAGCAGGCACACATGTATATGTTGAATAAATGTCTCCCTGTTGTCCAAACTCCGCAGCTGCAGGGGAACCTGCAATTGTCTCCTACGTACCTCTTCAACCTTATCTTCTCTTCCTTCTGTAAATGAATCCTGTGTTCCAAACCAATTACTTTACTCATTACTTTGCTTACTCTCAAACACTATGGATCCATCCCCTCTCCACTGACCAAACAGTGCCTGTCAAAAAGGCTCTGTCTCCCTTTGTACTAAGTTCCATCTCTGCTGTGTGTCTTTTTACAGTTCTCCATTCCTTAGGGATAGCTCTCACTTCTGAATTTTTGTAGCACTTATTGTATGCATACTTCCATACTGTATGTGTTGTGTTGTATGTGGTTATCAATTGGCTACTAGTCTAAACCACACAGGATTTGGGTTATTTTCTATTATTGCAGGTTATTTTGTAAAACTATACCATGGACTTATGAAAACAGGCAAATATAACTTTTTGTGATCTCAAGGACATATGTAATAGATGCATACGTTTTTCAGTTTTGCTGTAATAGTTTCTCTATTGACTGTCTAATTAGTACAGTCAAGTCTGATCTGTAAAAACAATGAAGGTGAGAAAAATATTTTAGCTACTAATTCTTAATATATTCTAATCAACCCAATAATTTAAATGTCCTTGAAATTGTAGAGATAGCATTGTCCATATTGTCCTGCTGATAGCCACAATTACAGAGAAATTCATTTGCTGATATTCATTTGCTGTTCTTCATTAGGGCATGTGTGATTTTTCGCTTACTTGCTCTAATCTAAACTTTTCTTACTTGAATACCCAGATAATAAAGGTTCACTTCTCCCACCATAGAACCAAGCAAAATTGCACCTTTAAGTATAATAAGGTGACCCCCTCTCTTTCTCAACAGAGAAAGAATCATGTCCCAAACATCATTTAAGCAATATAACATTTTCAGGCAGCTTTGCATCTATAATTTGGCATATATTCTTACACTACCATATGCCCATATATAACTGAAGACGAAATATTAGCATTCAATTTTTTCATTTTCTGGTAAAGAGAAAATAAGACTTCAGTCTCGCTAGTCAAAAAAGATACACGATTCAGCATTCACTTAATAGAAAGAGACATACCTTGTGCAGAAATGGCCCTGGTTTGAGAAAACACAACTTTTTAAAGAAAGATAAAGTCCTATAAGTGACTGCAGGGAATTCACTAAGCTTTTTGGGCAAATGGGCTCTGCAGCATTAGGTCTATATTTGCTTTAAAGAGGTTTATACATTCTGAACCTGACTGATCAATAATAATACTATTGAAAAACTATAACGTTATAAAGCTGAATTTTAAAGTGTAGAACACCTAATCTGTGAATAGAGATGAATGTGTTTGAAAATAAAGATGAAGTGAATAGTGAAAATTTACTTTTCTGCAAAGCTTTCTCTGATAAATTTCAAATTTCTTTGTAAGAGTCCACATTATTTTTACTTACTGTCAATGAAAATACATTTTTTCAGATCTTGCTTTGTCAAATATAATCTTGTAGTTCTTCTATATTCCTACACCTGAGCTAATGATTTCTCTCAAATAGTACTTTCAACCATTTACAGGTTTGTGGGTCAATACGCATTTTAAAATGTCCAGTAGGAAATCTTTAAATTAATTTCTATCAATTCAAAGGGATAGCAAAACTATGTGCTGATATAATAGTCTATAAAATGACATGGTGACTGAAAAGTTCAATTATTTTTACTATCTTATTCTTGCCTCTTGAGTTAGTTAAGCTTTATATTGAGCTAAAGAGAAATGAGACTAGTAGAAAGAAATACAAAAAAGTACATATTTTAAACACTTGTTTATTATCTAGTTTTACAGTCATGTGATAAGGTTTGGTAACTGAAGACTATCTTTGAATCAAAGTTGACCTCGGGAGTGAGCCAATGAACATTTTTTGTAGGTAGAGCAAAAGCAAAGGTGAATGGCTGCATTTTGGTGAAGGCCCCCAGCAGCAAGGTGAATGGCTGCATTTTGGTGAAGGCCCCCAGCAGCAACCACTGAAGGTTTTAATGTCTTCCATGGTGAACAGGATTGTATTTGGAGGAAAGTATCTGCAACCAAACCAGACATACATGGATTCAGAAAGGCTGCCTAGGAAATGTCTCATATGCAATCAAGCATTGTTATGGCAATGGTGAGTTGTATGCTTACAGAACAGAAATTCCCAAATGATGCCTGAAACAAGGAAGTGTAGAATAGCTACCAAAAAAGTGAGGTTTCCTAGGAGTCCTCAGACATTGAGCCAGAGAAGAGAGTGGCCTGGAAACAGTGGCAAGAGTATTGAACAGGGGAAAGATTTCATCACATTGCAAGGGAGGGGAGCTTGGGCTCTAAACATGGGGGACATAAACTGTCCCAAAGATGACATTTTGGAGTTTGGTGTATATTTTTAGTGCTGAGTTGAATAGTGAACTCTTATATCACGATTCTGCATACGCTATTTGTCTCTTTGTATTCTGTGGTTTTTTAGACTCTTCAGTGAGAGGCAGGATTGCTTTGGAAACAAATTGCTTTGTCTCAGCTTGGGTTCTCAAGTAACACTTCGTCTTTCTTTGAAGAATACCTGATCTTTTCCAAGGAAGTTAAATTTGATCCAAATTTTGGAAGTGGGAAGAAACATAAAGAAAGATAAGAGGGAAAGGCAGCCATTTACTAGAAGAGACATATCACTAAGTTTTTGGCATCAGGATCAGCAACACGAGACTTATTCAGGACGTGCCATCATTTTAAACAAACAGTTTATGAGCACTGCTTACATGCTAATATAATGTTAGATATTGGAGCTATAAAGACAAATAGTTTCCTTCTGCCCTAAGGAAACTTATATCTTTACAGGGGACACAGACGAATAAGCCAAAAAAAAAAAAAAAAAAAAAAAAAAAAAAAAGACAATACAGTGTGTTACATTTTCTGGTGGTAAGTTTGCTGGAGGTACTTTGGGAGAGGCATACCTAACCCACTTCAGGAGCAAGGGGGAAGGGTTAGAAAATATTTTCAAGGAAGTAGTGGCTGAATTAAGTCTAAATATCAAATATGTCTTTGTGAGTGTTTGTGTAAAGGGCTATCTGTTGAATTGCGACAAGTAATTATAGCAGTGGTGTTCAGAGATGAGTTGGTATTGTGTCTTGAATGTCAACCAGAGAATTCTGACTTGATAGAAATAGGAGATCATTTAAATTTTTAAGCTGGGAGCAACAATATGGCAGAAATCCTTCTAAAGCTTTGTGTCCATAGATCAATCAGATGGAAAGGGGATTGGAAATGGAGACGTAAGTTAGTTATTTTGTTAAACAACTTGAGTGTAGGGCAATGGAAACCTGAATCTAGGACGGTGGTTATGGGGAAAACACAAATCGTCTGAATGTGAGTCTGGATTCTGAGTTTGTCTCCAGTGGCTTTTCCTTAGGAATGGTCATTTCATCAAAACTAGAGGAGAGAAGAAAACTATAAATCAATCCGCAAGAGCATCCAACTGATAACTGGTTCAAAGACTATCTGTGAAACTCTTTTGTGATGTAAATATAGATTTTGAAAGGGACATGAGAATAAACATAAACAGAGAACAAGGTAAAAGTTGGTTTCTAGATGAAGGTACTAGTGTCCACTTACATGCCCTTTATCCTTTTGTTTAACATTGCTTCTGCTACTGTTTTTTCATCATTATGAAAATTTCTTAAAAGAAGATAGGACTATGTGAAAGGATTGGCACCAAGTATTATGAGTATGGCCAATAGAAACTTGTAGTCAAAATAAATTTTGATATACCTAAATGTTATTTGGATACCAAATGATCTTTAGAAGAAAGTGATATGTGATACTTTAGAAGAAAGTCCTAGTATGAGAATCTAGTAAACTCAAATAATTTATCATGATAAATATCAGTGCAGTAAAGGAGGAAGAAAACACTTAAGGAGACTTTATACTTCATGCATTGTACTAGGCGTTTTACTAGAATAAAAATACTTCATGAATTAGAATGTGCACAGATCATATTTTATTATCTTGGTTGAGAAATTTAGTAGAATACGTTAGTTCATCCTAACAAATAAGATTAAAGCATAAACAATTTTGAAAAATAATTTAGAAATCAAAAAGTAAAAGTTCATATGAAATTTAAAACTTTCAGGCAATTGATTGTGAATGGCATATTCTTGATTGCATGTATTTTCTACTTTTGTTTATATGTAATTCTGTTGTTGCCTATGCTTTAGGTCAATCCCTATGAAGATGGTTAATTTTCATTGCTCTGTTGGTTGAAGCTACTTCTTCTGGCAGGGTCACTGCACATTTTCTCAGGGGTGGTTCACCTCAAATTCATCGCTGCCACACGAAAATTAACAAAGCAGATATCCCACAGATCTCAGGTCACAATAATAGTTTTCCCATACATGAAGGGCAGTGTGCAATTACACAAATATAAATGAAAATTAATATTCTCTTTGCTTAAAAATTCTAATTTATCTCTCAGTTACCTCTTTTGAAGTATTCATGTTTTGAGGTTAAAAAAAGAACTGAGTAAAAGCCTACTTATAACAAAATAAATTACCCTTTGATATCCAGTGCAGCAACCTAGTATTTGAGAAAAACAGAACTCCACAAAGGCTTACTATATTCAGAATTTGACAAAGTGTGACCCATTTACAGAAGCAGAAAATGCACCACAGGTAATTTAGTGTTTCTTATTTTTCTTCCAAAAGCAGATAAATTGTATTTACCAGCCAAATAAAAGAACTGTTTCCAAACTTACTTGTTTAGAGAAAAATAGAGAAACAGGGGGGGAAAATACAATAATTTTGACTGAGAAAGATACTCTCGAAATATGAAATGTGGAGGGCTTCAAAAGATCTCATAAGAATGTCAAAATATGGGAAGTATTTGATGAACTTATTTTAAAAATAATTGTTGCTATAGATCCCTACAGACCCTTTACACACTGTGAGGATATTGAACAATTTACAGATGCCACATGTTCACACTGCCACTTTTATAGGTAATTTCTAAGATTATTGTCAGAATTTTAAATATACTGGAAAAAGAAAAAACAACATTAAAATACAAAATCTGCAATCTGGCTTAGGTATTCTCCTAAGTGCTCATATCTACAGTAGCACTTTTTCTATTTTTCTGCATGTGCCATTTTAATTTTTTCTCCTTTATGAGAACATCAACTCCTTAAAAATGGGGAACTCTGTCTTGCACATCCTCATGTGCCCAGTCCCTTGTACTGCACTTAACACATAATAGATGTATCCACACATGTTTGCCAAATATAAGAATGAGCAAACAAACACTGGAGCCCAAGGGCAATTCTTTATTAAAAGAGTATATATTAATATATAGATTGAGATACCTTTATATTACTCAAGTGTTGAAAATAGTTCCATATGTTCACTGATGTTTATATCTTCCAGAAGTCCTCTCAAAAAGGACTTACATAATACTCATTTGTATCATTTAAGTTTTATAAAGTACCAAAATAGCATGCCATTGTAATTAATACTGTAATTAATATTACTTTAAAAATTCTAAGTGGTGAACATTATGTTGATAAACTGGGACAATGGCAGAGACGTCATTTATTAACCACATTTTTAGATTTCACACTGAGCTACGTATGCTTTAAGTCTAAGTCAGAGTTGGGACTAAAATTGTTTTTGTTTTTTATTTAGTTCAATATAAACTTAAAATTATATAGAAGGATTTAAAAAGGCTTTCAAATGCAGTTCCTTTATTTGTCAACAATCACTCCCAGTGGCCGGGTCAGACAGATCAGATGTGGCTAGAATGACTTGTGTCCACAATGCTGCAGATCAAATTAAAAAAAAAAAAGTTGGAAATGGCTTTTGGGACCCTTGGAAACCACTTCCAGTCTAAAGCCACAAGGACAGAAATAATCAATAATGGTAGCCATTTGGTTTCATTCATTTCTTTTAATGAACATGCTCACAACTCACTAAAAGCATTCTTACTGGACTGGGATGGATTTCAATTCTCTGGTGACTGACAAAAATAGAGCCTTTGATGAAACCTGTGGTGTTGCATTGCTCTCCATTGTCTTTCCCTGTCCTAATAGACACTGGTGTTGTTTAACTCCGAAAATTGCCATCTTGGTAGAGACTGACAAACAGTTGATCTGTAACTATTAGCTAAATTCTCCCCATGATTTTTGATTCAATTTATTTTAGGAAAGCATCTACAAACTGCAGAGCAGTTTCAAATATGTAAAATCTGTAAACGTAGGCATAAAGGTCTCAAGAAAAAATGGGCTCAGAGTTGATTTAATCAGTGTATTAATATTCAATAGGATAATTTCCATTTCTGTAGTCACTGCCCTAGTTCAAGTAAGCATTAATTTGTATCTAATAAAGTGTCATTAATACTGTGGATACTTAAAAATTGCTTTTGATAAATGAACAACATCTGGCTTATTGCAGCAGCCTCTTAACTTGTCTCACTTTATTTAAGTTCCTTCCAATTATTATCTATTTTATAGCTAACTGCCAAAAAAAGAAGCTTTCTTGTAATTTTCCAACATGGGTAATTTCTTGCTTATGAAACTAGTTTTCTTTTTTTAACAAAATCAAAATTCCTGTGCTTGAGATGAAATTTTCTCCATCAATTTTCCTAGGTTTTCATTTCTTACTATCCAATTAATCTCATTACTTCATTGCATCAGCATTTTTCAAAAAGTATGTTTTAATTTTTTGATGACAACTAAATGTAGTCATCATTTTAAAAATGCAGTTTAAGAATTTCTAAAATAAGTATACCAGCCCATTGGTAAACAAAGAATAGAAGGTCTCTATGATTTCAGAAAATGCCCTTTTCTCATATCCAAGTCAGAATGACTTGGGCAAGAATGGGAGAAGACGTGAAGATAAAAGGGAAGTGATGACTGGTCTGTCTCTGTCAGTTGCTTCTTTTTCTCCCTAATTTTAAAACCGTAATGTCTGCAAATGAAAGGATTTAGTGTTCAAAGGGATAATACATCTTTTTAGAGGGAATGAACAGTATGGTTACTGACCAAGTGTAAATTTACTTAAGTGCACATTTAGGGGCTTCTCAGGGGTTCTAGTATTATGGTTGCATATCACCTGAAATTGAATTTTGTCCTGCCCTAATGTTTCATGTTGCAAAGGGGGAAATGAAGATAAACTGAAATGAATGACTAAATCTAGGCTTTTTAATAATTATTTTTCTTCAACAAGATAATTCAACTTAAATCTCAAGGCCTGGAACAGAAAAGGTGTTCTTTACATACCTACTATCCATGTTGAGGTTCCCATCACACAAACAAACTTTCAAAACTTGTTAAATAAAAATCATTATTAAAAAGCCTATATTCATAGTTTCTAGGTCACTGGAGATTTATTATTGAGAATGATATCATCTTTTCCTTTACCATTCTAATTCATCAGTTACAACTTTTCACTTTATGGAGTCGCAGAGAATCTGAGTACATCTCCCAAACAGGTCTAGCATCAGGTATCAACTGTATTACAAGAAATCAAGCTCAACAACAATTTCCAAGATCAAACATAGAAGAAAATTATAGAGTTAACTTTTTCACTTGTCTTCCTTTCTTATCCTATGCTGGGAAATACATATTCCACAATATTCCGTAGTTTCTTTCAAATTATGTTTTTAATGGAATCCCACACCTAAAATGAACTTTTTTGTATGGTCAAATCATTCTTCCCAGAACTGCCATTATAACATTTTGAAAATGATGCTTTATTCATTTCATTTACATGTTCAAATGACATCTGCAAAATGAGAAACATCCTCTTTACTTTACTTTCAAGAACCTCCATAATTTGATTTCTATTTACTGTATCAGGTTTTATTTACTAATCACCTCTAAAACATTGAATTCTATGACTCCTGAACATAATTTAAACTTATTAATTTGTCTCCCCATCTGGAGTTTAGCCACCTTCTCTGTTCTTGAAATGCTCTCCTCTTCTCAACCTATTCATATTAGTCCTCATACCTTTATGGACTTCCCTTGATTCCTCAAATGGAAATTGTTCTCATTAACAAAATGTATATAGGACTTTCCATCTAATCTTGTGACTCAATACTGCATGTGATTTTGCACTCAGCTCCCAGGGGACATTTGGCAATGTCTGGAGACAGTTTTGGTTGTCACAACTGGGCAGATGCTATTGGCATCTAATGGATAGAGGTCAGAGATGCTGCTAAATATTCCACAATATATACGATGGCTCTCCACCACTAAGAAGTATCTGATTCAAAATGTCAGTAGTGTTGCTGTTGAAAAATCCTAACCTAATTCAATCTTACACCTCTATTTCAAACCTGCCTATAATTTTACTTCTATATGTATGTGTTAATCATCTGTAGTAGAATACAAGCCTTTGAAATACTAGGACCACATCTCATGCATAATTTTATTTCTTCAAAAGGCCTAGCACAAAGGCTGGTATATGCATGGGCACTCAAAAATATTAAAAAACCTATGTGACATAGAATATCTAGGTCACTATTTGTTGAATAAACATACAAGAAGACACTAACCAATAAAGCTACATTAAGTTCAACATATACTTTTTTCTTTTTTTATTTATTATTATTATACTTTAAGTTGTAGGGTACATGTGCACAATGTGCAGGTTTGTTACATACGTATACATGTGCCATGCTGGTGTGCTGTACCCACTAACTCGTCATCTAGCATTAAGTATATCTCCCAATGCTATCCCACCCCTGTCCCCCCACCCCACAACAGTACCCAGAGTGTGATGTTCCTCTTCCTGTGGCCATGTGTTCTCATTGTTCAATTTCCACCTATGAGTGAGAATATGCGGTGTTTGTTTTTTTGTTCTTGCGATAGTTTGCTGAGAATGATGGTTTCCAGTTTCATCCATGTCCCTACAAAGGACATGAACTCATCATTTTTTATGGCTGCATAGTATTCTGTGGTGTATATGTGCCACATTTTCTTAATCCAGTCTATCATTGTTGGACATTTGGGTTGGTTCCAAGTCTTTGCTATTGTGAATTATGCCACAATAAACATATGTGTGCGTGTGTCTTTATAGCAGCATGATTTATAGTCCTTTGGGTATATACCCAGTAATGGGATGGCTGGGTCAAATGGTATTTCTAGTTCTAGATCCCTGAAGAATCGCCACACTGACTTCCACAATGGTTGAACTAGTTTACAGTCCCACCAACAGTGTAAAAGTGTTCCTATTTCTCCAAATCCTCTCCAGCACCTGTTGTTTCCTGACTTTTTAATGATCGCCATTCTAACTGGTGTGAGATGGTATCTCATTGTGGTTTTGATTTGCATTTCTCTGATGGCCAGTGATGGTGAGCATTTTTTCATGTGTTTTTTGGCAGCATAAATGTCTTCTTTTGAGAAGTGTCTGTTCATGTCCTTTGCCCACTTTTTGATGGGGGTGTTTGTTTTTTTCTTGTAAATTTGTTTGAGTTCATTGTAGATTCTGGATATTAGCCCTTTTCAGATGAGTAGGTTGCGAAAATTTTCTCCCATTTTGTAGGTTGCCTGTTCACTCTGATGGTAGTTTCTTTTGCTGTGCAGAAGCTCTTTAGTTTAATTAGATCCCATTTGTCAATTTTGGCTTTGGTTGCCATTACTGCCCAAGGTAATTTACAGATTCAATGTCTTCCCCATCAAGCTACCAATGACTTTCTTCTCAGAATTGGAGAAAGCTACTTTAAAGTTCATATGGAACCAAAAAAGAGCCCGCATCACCAAGTCAATCCTGAGCCAAAAGAACAAAGCTGGAGGCATCACACTACCTGACTTCAAACTATACTACAAGGCTACAGTAACCAAAACAGCATGGTACTGGTACCAAAACAGAGATATAGATCAATGGAACAGAACAGAGCCCTCAGAAATAATGCCGCATATCTACAACTATCTGATCTTTGACAAATCTGAGAAAAACAAGCAATGGGGAAAGGATTCCCTATTTAATAAATGGTGCTGGGAAAACTGGCTAGCCATATATAGAAAGCTGAAACTGGATCCCTTCCTTACACCTTATACAAAAATCAATTCAAGATGGATTAAAGACTTAAGCCTTAGACCTAAAACCATAAAAACCCTGGAAGAAAACCTAGGCATTACCATTCAGGGCATAGGCATGGGCAAGGACTTCATGTCTAAAACACCAAAAGTTCAACATATACTTTCTTTGATGACTTTGATAATTGAGCTGTCATTTGAAGATCTTTTAACAGTAAAAATCAATTAGCATTATTCTGGTAAAGAGAGAATTTATAGTTCAACATATATAATTATAGCTGAGAAGCAGAAAAATATTATAAACTTCAACATATTTTTATAATAGATGAAAAGTTTGGAGTTTGAGGTTTGCAGAGCTAATGTATCTATCTTTAATAGAGTTATCTTCTGTCTCTCCTATGTTAAATGTGTCGAGTTGTTGTTGTTGTCTTAATGTGCTACAAACAACTAATACTTGCTTTATGAAGTTCTCTCAGCTGCTATACAGTAGGTGCTGGTTAAATCAGCTCCAATTTGTTTGCATTCCTCTAAGTGGAGCATCTAGCTGTTGGGCAAAATAAAACATTAAATTATCTTGTGAATTTGCTGTAAATATTTGAAAATGATTGCTATTGGAATACATAAACAGTTTTTTAAGTTCCCTTATGAAATGAGCTGATGCATTTTGCTTACTAATTAAATATCTATGTTTACATAATGTCCTACAGTCTCCCATATATGGAAAAATGAATATAGCTTAGTGACTGCCTGCTCTAAAGGACACTGTTCAAGCTTTTTAGCTTGCCATTCAATATCCTGCCAAAGCTGTCCTCTACTTATCTTTTAGGCATATCTCTTTCATAAATATTCTGCTTCTGCTGAATTATTTTACTTATAATTTCTTGAATATATTTCTTACTTTCCTCACCTCTAATATTTATGTCTTTTTCCCTCTTAAAATCTATAGAATGAACATTTTTCTATCACAGATTGAGCTTTCTCTTTTTACCCTTCTCCCAATCCAACCTCCTCTTGAATTGCTGGTCACTGTAACTCATCCATCTCACATGCTAACTCTTCCAAAAAGGCCACCCCTCATCTTCCAAACCATACTTCTGCTTTTGAAATGATAGTCCCTATACTACTTAAGTTCTGCTGTCATGTTGTCATTTTATTTGTGCATTTTTATTTTTCCTTTTCCTCAGATGGTAAAGTCTTGGGGGTAGGGACCATGATTTACAGACATCTTTGAATCACACTCAGCACCTAGTAGTACACTGTCCTGTACATAGTAATTGTTCATTATACAGTAGTTAAATAAATGTTGAATGAGTTATGATAGTTATGATATTGCTTTAGAATTGGAAAATGGTGTGACAACCTGGTTATAAAACATAAAATAAAGTGTTTTTCTGATAAATAAATGTCCAGAAAAAAGAAGAGGGGACTGTTATAGATATAATAACCAAATAATCAAACCATAATATGTACAGACATAGTAACCAAAAGTGATGTGTGGACCTTGTTTGGATTTTGATTTGAACAAACTAACTGTAAATGGGCATTTTTGGCACAATTGGTGAAATGCGTAATGGATGATACTAAGAATCTGTGGTATGAGAAAGGCATGCTCATTATGTCAAAATAATTATCAGTTAGAGATGCATACTGAATAATTTTCAAATAACAAGTTTGATATTTGCTTTAAAATATTAGATAAAAAGTATGAGGAATAATAAAAAAAACTTGGCAGCATTTGCCATAATGTTGATAATTATTGCAGCAGAGTAAAGGGTACATGGTATACATTATACTATACCTCTGTAGTTTAGTGTAGGTCTAAATATTTCCATAAAAAGTTTAAATATACATAAAGTAAAATGCCGTAGAATAATCTTTCAGTCATTCATATTGTAGGAAAGTAATTATTCAGTTATTTAAGACACTGACTATAAGAGATTCTATGACTTGAATAAATTTTCATTTCACAGTGTGTAACCCAACACCTAAGACCAATTCAAATACAAAAACATTCCACTGGTCGCTTAATGTCCTACTCTTTTGTATACCACACAAGGCTATTGAATGCTTAGTGAGTCTGGATTTTCACTGTTCTCTAAGGACCCATCATTGTTACTCATAACTGTCTGGCTTAAGAAGGTTGGATTCAACACAATAGATAGTTGCTGACCCAAAAGGATTTACTCTCTTATCCTGAGAATGACCAACAGCCCTGTAAAAGACAGAGCACTTCTTTTTCTTTGCTAGCTGAACTGGATCCATTCATCCTCAATGTCACAGAAGAAAAACGATGTGATGAAAACCTTTCTTGAATAGACATACCAGAGATCAGGTAAGAAATTTTGGACGTGGCCAAGTAGCAAACAGTAAAGAAAGATGGCATTCAAAGGCAGAAAACAGATGAATTGGTGATTTCAACTTCAGACTTACAAAGTCTTTCAGTTTTGTTGCTACTTTCTTAGACAAACTCCTCTTTATTACTCCTTCAATTGATCTGAAACCTCTACTTGGTTATCTGTTAGTATGCTCAAAACCACCCCCACAAAAGCATAAAATCTAAGTTATATTCTTGTGTATGCTATGGGAACACAACCTCCAAAGAAGTGCTCTGCCTTCCCAGTTTTCAATCACCATTAAGCTCTTCCCTCCATTGTCAGAGATGCACCTCCATTTTCCTATGGATTACTTCAGTAAGTTCTGTATCAGTCTCTTGCTTCCAATATTTTCTCTCTGCAACACACACTATGGGGTGCTTTTAGGTTAGGCTTCCTAAAATACAGCAGTTAGCATGCCACTCTCATATTCAAAAGCTTTCACTGGCTCACCATTGCCTATTAAATAAAGCACATTTCTGTTCACTCAGTATTTCAGACCTCACAAATCTGTCTGAAGTCTACACTCTAATCTTGACTTTCTTTAAGCAACTTGAAACTGTAAACCAACTGAACTAATTGCAGGTCCCTGAAAATACTCTGTACTTTTGGGTCTCCATTCTTTCTTCCTATTAAAGCATCTCTTTTTAAACATTTCCACTCAAGGTATCCTCCAATTCTTCATTTCATCATCCCTTAGCATGTAACCTTGTCAGAATTAGCCTCTTACTCTGTAAGAATCTATAGCTTTTCATGTGTATCTTTCTTAGCTATTTCTCTCACTGGTATTATAACATGCTATGAGCTTCATTTCTCTGGTCAACCATAAGCTCTTTGAAAACACAACTGATCTGTTTCATCTTTGTATCCCTAGTCTCTGGCATAGTGGTCTGTACTTACAATATGTTTAGTAGACATTGGTTAAAGGGCTGATAGAAAGAATATTAAAAGTTCTATGCAAAGATAGAGATAGAGGCCAAGCCATGCTTTCACAAATTGAAACATCATGATATTTAAATTCTAGTTATGAGATAAATTATTATCATTCAATTAGGGCAGTGCTGGAAATTGGATTAAGTACATTCTTTGTTTTGTCACATTTAGTCCTCTCAATTCTACAATTTTAGAGATGTGGGAACTGAGATTTGGAGAGATGAGGTAGCTTGTTTGTATGCCGCCTGAGATTCCCTTTCTAATTATACTATTAACATGTCTACGGAGCTCTAGAGTTCTGATGACATACCATGAGGGACACCTCAAACTAAAACAGAAAATAATCCCAGTTCCTATTCCCTACTTCTGTAACAGAAAAATTTCTGTTTTCTTTGTTTCGTATAGTGAAATTTTTTATTTTTTATATTTTATTTGTACCTTAAATACCTGGAAGATAGGTCATTCACTTTTTTATTTGCCATTATATCACCTATTACCTTTGTCTTATACCTGATAATTTGACATATTTAAATCATTTACTTGAATGCACTGAAATACATAACTCTTCACTTAATGTACTAAGAATAATTTTTAGGCCAGGCGCTGTGGCTCACACCTATAATCCCAGCACTTTTGGAGTCCAAGGCAGGCGGATTGCTTGAGCCCAGGAGTTCAAGACAAGCCTGGGCAACAAGCTGAAACTCTGTTTCTATATTAAAAAAAAAAAAAAAGGTTAGCCGGGCATGGTGGAGTGTGCCTGTGGTCCCAGCTACTGGGGAGGCTGAGGTGGGAGGATGGCTTGAGCCTGGGAGCAGAGGTTGCAGTGAGCTGAAATCACACCAATGTACTCCAGCCTGGGTGACAGAGTGAGACTCCACATCAAAAAAAAAAAAAAGAATAATAAATTTTAAATAAAAATTATAAGTTGCATTTAATTCCACAAAGCAGGCATGTCATGAGCCTATGTGCCTACATAAATAATGCCATCATGTTCCAACAAATATGTTCTAATCCACTTTTGGAACTGTTCTAAGAATCAATATACGTCTCATAAGAAAATACATTTTATTACTTTATAGTCTAAATTCCTACTTGTCCCAAATAGTTTTGGTTCATTAAAGAAATGTTTTCCACCCTGAAAGGATAAAACCATTGTGAAAATACTTAAAATGTGGTTTTTACATCCAGTGCCAAAAATGACATTTAAAAATTATTTGGGAGATGCATGGCTCACAAAGGTGGCCACTTAAAAGAGAGCTTGAGTGTGTAAATACTGATATGTGTGCATGTATACATATATATTCTGATATGTATGTTCTGATATGTATATACATATACACACACTGTATATTTTTATTTCCCTAGTTATAGCTTATATCAGAAATATCAAGCAAATTCTGTATATAAAAGTTTCAAAAAGATTTGATATGAAAAATTTCTTCTGGGAATGAGAAAGGAAATTTTTTATGATAAAATTTAGCAAGGTTTCATGTTAAAAACTCTCAATAAACTGGGTATTGAATGAATATGCCTCAGAATAACAAGAGCCATCTATGACAAACCACAGCTGACATCATACAGAATGGGCAAAAGCTGGAAGCATTCCCTTTGAAAACAGGCATAAGACAAGGATGCACTCTCTCACCACTCCTATTCAACACAGTATTGGAAACCCTGGCCAGAGCAATCAGGCAAGAGAAAGAAACAAAGGGCATCCAAATAGGAGAGGAAGTCAAACTATCCTTGTTTGCAGACAACATAATTCTACCTCCAGAAAGCCCTATAACTTCAGCCCCAAATCTCCTTGATCTGAAAAACAACTTCAGCAAAGTTTCAGGACATGAAATCAATGTACAAAAATCAATTCCTATACACCCTAAGAGCAGCCATGCCAAAGCCAAATCAAGAACACAATCCCATTCATAATAGCCACAAAAAGAATAAAATACCTAGGAATACAGCCCACTAGGAAGGTGAAAGATCTCTGCAATGAGAATTACAAAACACTGCTCAAAGAAATCAGAAATGACACAAACAAATGAAAACACATTCCATGCTCATGGATAGGAAGAATCAATATCATTAAAATGGTCATACTGCCAAAAGCAATTTACAGATTCAATGCTATTCCTATCAAACTACCAATGACATTCTTCACACAACTAGTAACATTATTTTAAAATTTATATGGAACCAAAATAGAGCCCAAATAGCCAAGGCAATCATAAGCAAAAAGAACAAAGCTGGGGGCATCAAGTTACTTGACTTCAAACTATACTATAGGGCTATAGTAACCAAAACAGCATGGTTCTGGTATGAAAGCAGACACATAGACCAATGGCACAGAATAGAGAGACCAGAAATAAGGCCACACACCTACAACCATCTATTCTTTGACAAAGCCAACAAAAACAAGCAATGGGGAAAGGACTCCTGATTCAAAAATGGTGCTGGGATAACTGGCTAGCCTTATGCAGATGATTGAAACTGGACCCCTTTCTTACACCATATTAAAAATAATCAAGTAACAATGGATTAAAGACTTAAATGTAAAACCCTGAATTATAAAATCCCTGGAAGACAACTTAGGCAATATCATTGTGGACATAGAAATTGGCAAACATTTCATGAAAAAGACCCTAAAAGCAATAGTAATAAAAGCAAGAATTGACAAATGGAATCTAATTAAACTTAAGAGCTTCTGTACAGCAAAAGAAACTATCAACAGAGTAAACACAACCTACAGAATGGGAGAAAGTATTTATTTACAAATTGTGCTCTGACAAAGGTCTAATATCCAGAAATTACAAGGAACTTTGAGCAAATATACAAGAAACAAAAACAACCCCTTTAAAAAGTAGGCAAAAGACATGAACAGACACTTTTCTAAAGAAGACATACATGTGGCCAACAAGCATATGAAGAAAAGCTCAGTATCACTAATCATTAGAGAAGTGCAAATCAAAAAAATAAAGAGATACCATCTTATACTAGTCAGGATGGCTATTATTAAAAAGTCAAAAAATAACAGGTGCTGGCAAGGTTGTGGAGAAAAGGGAATACTTATATACTACTTGTGGGAGTGTAAATTAGTTCAACCACTGTGGAAAGCAGTGAAGCAGTGTGGTGATTCCTTGAAGAGCTAAAAACAGAATTACTATTCAACCCAGCAATCTCATTACTGGGTATATACTCAAAAGAATAAAAATTATTCTACCATAAAGACACATGCATGCCAACATTCTTTGCAGCACTATTCACAATAGCAAAGACATGGAATCAACCTAAATGCCCATCAATGAAAAATTGAATAAAGAAAATGTGGAACATATACATCATGGAATACTATGCAGCCATAAAAAATGAGATCCTGTCCTATGAAGGAACATGGATGGAACTGGAGGCCACCATACTTAGCAAACTAATGCAGAAACAGAAAATGAAATATCACATGTTCTCACTTATAAGTGGTAGCTAAATAATGAGAACATATGGACACATAGAATGGGAAAAGCACACATTAGGGTCTATCAGAGGGTGGGGGTTGGGAGAAGGAAGAGGATCAGAAAACTAACTATTGGGTACTAGGCTTAGCACCTGAGTGATTTAAAAAAAATCTGTACAACAAACTCTTGTGAGATGAATGTACCTACATAAGAAACCTGGACATGTACACTTGAACCTAAAAAAAAAAATTTAAAAACAAAAACATAAAACAACAACAACAAAATACTTTGGCAGCCATAAAAAAAAAAAGGTATTTGAGTAGTCCTTGGAGCTTTGAAATAGCAGATGGATAACCTATGGATATTTCAGGTTAATATTTTCAAAGTGTTTCCTTGAATGTTATCCCCAAAAGATGTAACTGTGTGTGGAAGTTGGTGGAGAAGAAATTGGTAGTTAAATGTGTTGGTCAGATACATCTCTGAAAGACCTAAGGAGCATAATAACACATTAAAGGCTTAGAGACATTTGTCAAGAAAGAAATCTTTAACATCATGTTTCCAATACCTTTGATAATGAATCACTTTTTAAAAATATAACCTTTAATAACATCCTCAATATCTACCTTAAGTAGAACCACAACAGTTAGGCTGATGATTGTGATGGTGGTATGGAGGGTGGTATGGCGGCATCACTCATATTCCTTTTAGTAAACACATATATTTTTGTTCCTTGAACAGTTTCCTGTGCTTGTATCCATCTTATCATTTACCAGTTGTATAACTGTGGCAAGTTATTTAATCTCTGAGTCTCAGTCCTTTTATTTGTAAAATCAAGATAACCTAATATCTATTCATAAGGTTTTAAAGGATTAAACGAGTCAGTCCATATAAAGTACTTAGAACTGCGTTCAATCACTCTATGGTGTGATCTTGGACAATTCCTGTGGCTCAGCTACAAAACATTAATACTTCCACATAATGGCAATCTTTCTTTCTGGCAGTTTTTAGTTATAGGAATGTTATGTAAATGAGCACACACTGCTATAAACAGAGGTATTGTTTTCTACAATGAACACTGAGCTCCCAGAGTAACAAGTCTCTTAACACAGTTTGTGTCCAGATCCCTTGGCTCCCAGATCCAGAGGAGTAGGCAGATGCTTTCAGGGCCATATTTCACAGTATATGTCTTTTCCTCCAAGGACAACTACTTTCTTTTCTTCTGTGTTGCTTTTTGTCAGTTAAAAAAATACAGAAACATCATTATTTGGGGTGTGCAAAAAAATAGCATTTGGTAATTATGGAGACACATGTCAATACATGTTATTCATTTGTCCATTATTAAGAAAATGATTATCCTGGTTTCTTGAACTTATAAAGTTGTGAAGAACATAGCCTCTGTAATTTGGCTTTCACATATGTTCAGAAAAGTCCTTGGAGTTCCCCAGTTCCCATATCATCTTTACCTCCCAGAAAAACATATTTCACTCACCTATGTATGCAACCAGAAAAGTTTATTATATATTTGAGCTCTTTTGTGTCTGACTTTTTATTAGCAAAGAACAAGCAGAAAATGAATATATATGCTACAATTTTATTTATTTATTTATTTTTTGAGACTGAGTCTCACTCAGTCGCCCAGGCTGGAGTGCAGTGGCGTGATCTTGGCTCACTGCAACCTCCTCCTCCGGGGTTCAAGTAATTCTCCCTTCTCAGCTTCCCAAGTAGTTGGGATTACAGGCACCCACCACCATGCCCGGCTAATTTTTGTATGTTTATAGAGATGGGGTTTCACCATATTGGCCAGAGTGGTCTTGAACTCCTGACCTCAGGTGATCCACCCGCCTCGGCCTCCCAAAGTGCTGGGATGACAGGTGTGAGCCACTGTGCCTGGCCCATATGGTAAAAATTTAAATATGCAATTGATCTTTATCGTCTTTACAACCTTTACTCTTATGAGTCTGAGGATAAAATAAGATCAATGAAAAATGATGGTGAAAGTATTTTATATATGGTAAATCATTCTGAAAATATGTTTACTGAGAGCAATAATAACAACTTAGTGTGTGAGGGTTTTCATACTTAGGTTTATAATATTACTTGTTTTATATTTCAAAGGAGGGATCAACCTTAGTATTTTCAAAAACAGATATCGACAAGTCAAAGAAACATGGTGTTTATGTAAGCTAATGTGTAATTATCTATAATTATCTATAATTGTAGATAATTATATAACATGATACAGAACTCCAATGTTTGTTAACCATTCCTCCCTGCCATAGATATGAATCGTCTTCAGTTATTAGTTGTGATGCACAGGATTAAAAAATAGATTATAAGATGCACTTAGTTTCTAAATTCTGAAATCAGGCGCTTCTCATAATCAATATTCAAAAAATTGCTGATTATATTTTATACAAAAAGTTTTCATTTAATGTATGACATGTATTGCAACCAACTTTGTTTCATAGCTAAAGAAGTAGAGGATATTGTATCATCATTTTTCCAGAGATCTTTTGTGGGTATGTTTGTATCACTCAATTAGCCTCCATGATCTTTTATGCATTCCAGCTATTTATTTTTGCTATGAAGTACTTATTAACTCTTATTCTACCTTAATCAGTAAATGCCATGATGTAGAGGTCACAGACTTCACAATATTAGTTAGTTTTGGTTTTCAATGGCCAAATTATGAACTATGAACAAGTATCTTGGTAAAAAATAGGTGGAAGCAATAACCTAAGTCATAACATGCTTGGACCAACCTTGCTCCCTTAAATAAAAGTAAAAAAATAACAGCACTGATATCACAAAGGGGGGTTCTAATTAGGAATAGAAAATCATCTCAGATTCAGATCTTATATAAGTTGACCTAAAATCCTATTTTTTCTTTTATTTTACATTTAAGAAATCAAAACCAAATTAATATAATAATATTATAAGATAAAATTTAAACTAGCCCTCAATTATGCCATCTTGAGTTTTTATGGAACTAGGTGCCTTGCTAATTGCTTGAGATATTTTTATATTATTCCATTTTCTCCCTATATTATTCCTGTGGTACAATACATGTGAGTTCAATATCCTAATGTCTTTGTTTAGATAAGGCTAGAATCTAACTTCACATTGAGAAGAAAGAATGGATAGTAATACCATCATCATGAAAATGAAAAGTATCCTAACCTTCCCCAGTCATTTGAAGTCCTCTATCACTACATTATCATCATGAGCCTTTTCCACAGCTATTCTAATATGTTCAGATTGCCCATTCATTCAGAAAATATTTATTTTGCCCTGTGTGTCAGGTGCTGTGCTAGATTCCTCGAATTTAGAGATGAACACACGTTCTGCCTCCAAGGACAGCACCATATGAAGACAGACAATCAGAGACTTTCAATAATATGTGGCAAAGCAATTATATAGAAAAGTCATAGAAACAGAAAACAAGGCGGTCATTCTAACCATCCTGACTGGGGAGGGAAGGAGACAGTTTTATCTCAAAGAAGCCAACGTGTGGCCTGAGTAAAATATAAATAGAAATTGATCAAGTGGTAATATTTGTATATTTTTCCTTTTTACTGGATCTCAAATTTTATAACACGTCAGATTTAGTGCGGCCCTCCTACCTTATTTTTAGGCACTCTTCCTGAAGTAGTATCATTGATTCTTTTGGCCTTAATTTCATCTCTATGCTAAGTATTTCCATCCCTATGCTAATTATTTCCATCCAGATAGATATCTCCAGGGTATATCTTTCTGAGCTTTTGTAGGGGATTTTGTGGTTGATCAAGGGGAAAAAAATAAAGGTGGCAGTAGCTTTACCGGGGGCTGCTTTGACAGGTTCTCACGTGGAGGAAGTCCTTCACAGCAGGAGTCTGTCTAGTAGCTAAGGGTCAGGGTCACCACTCAGAAGGGAAGGAGTGCAAGGGAACTCCTAGGAGAGAGGGGGCTTATGTGTTAAGGCAATGTTGCTCAGTGGCATGGTGGGGAGTCTGTGTCAAAGAGCTCCAAAAGGCAGTAGTGGCTTGGGTCTTTATGACCCATGGGATTTAGCTACTGCTAGCAGATGTGGGGTGAAGTTTTGTGGGATATGCAAAACAGCCAGATTTTAAATGGCTAAAAATATGTTTATGTAGCCTATTTTAAAAACAAATGCATGTGTAAACATTTGATTTAATCCCCTGGTGGGCTTTTGGGCTAGTGGGTGTCAGCCTATATTGAGGAAGTAACAACCTGGGGGCCAATACGCAGAGGCCATCTTTGGCTCATTTATATAACAGCTTCACATCAGTATAAATCAGTATAATCAAATGCCTATTTATCATCTCCACTGGGGTGTCACATAAATATCATGAAATTAACCTAATGAAGATAGAACTGGTACTTCAACAATTTTTCTTTCTTAGTAAATAGAACTATCATGTAAGACTTGAGGCAGAAACTTAAGGATCATACATAATTCCTCCATTTCCAATCCAAACCATCACAAAATTCTTTCATTTCTACCTCCTAATTGTCTCTCATCTCTAGTTATTGATAGCTACATAACCAACACTCAAGGCTAAGCTACATATATCTCTTGTTTGGATTACTCTAATGTTCTGCTAGATTGTCTTCTTATTTTGGTCATATCTCCTTTCCATAGGTTCTTCTTACAGCAACCAGGGTTATCTTTTGAAACATGTAGAGATCATGCTAGCTCTTTGCTTACGTACCTTGTAACAGTGCCCTGTTCCACCCTGAGAATATGCAAATTAGAAAAACCCTGCATCTTCAGACCTGTAATTCTCCCTCCAAGCCCCAGTTGCTCACCAGTGTCCAGCTACAGGCTCAATGACTCATGCATGTTCTTTTCCATAGCAGGGCCTCTGCACTGCTATTCTTTCTGCCTGCATTATGCAGCTCCAGCAATTTGAGTGACTGGTTCCTTTTCTTCCTTCAGGTGTTGCTTAAATGTCACTTCCTCAGAGATGCCTTATGTAATTTGCCTAACACTTCCCTCAACCTCCCCACCTCTCATCCCCATTATTTTCTCTCCTGCTTTCCATTTATTTCTGGCATAACAATGATTTCAGTTTGTAACTTAAATATTATGTGTTTTGTTTATTGCTCCAAACTCTCTCTAGGCTTCATGCAAGCAGATTCTTTGTCTGTCATGCCTTGTTCACTGCTTTTTTTAAAAAAATGTTTTTTTTTTTTAATCAGGTGTCTAGTGCAGTGCTGGCACACAGTAGAATCTAACTAAATATTTGTTAATTGAAATACAAACATAAATTCATAAAAATAAGTGAATAAGCACAGTCAGATGGGAAAGGTCTCTCTTTTTAAGGGTTAACGATGTTATTATCTTATGCTGTACAGTCAAATACATGAAAAACTTAATGCCTTTTTTTTTTTTAATTAGGCCAAGGATCTAAACAACTATGGGGACTATGAATAGCCCTTGAATGAACACATTTGAAAATCATAGAGTTAAACCAATTACAATTCCTTAGCAAGGCTGGGGGTACTAAAAAGTACATTGTAATCAGTTGTTCTCCAAATTTTGTAGACCAAAGAAGATAAAATAAGAGTAATTATCATCATTAGGTGTCTAGAAGATGTATGAGGAAAAGTTTTCTATTGGGGGTAAGAATTAGAAAGAAAAACTTTATTAACAGGACATAAAAATATCTGAGAATCCTGACTTTCTACCATGCTGTTTTACATTTCTGAGGCATCTCTGGCTATGTTCCCTTTTCCTTCTTACTATTTCCAATGTGTACATTCTCTCTGTTTTCCTTGCTTAGTCTTAATGGAAATTCAACCATTCTGTATTAGAAGTAAAGCTGTCTTAATGTGGAGATGGTGACAGAAATAATAATACAAATAATAAGAATATGATTGATAAACATTTATTGAGTGTTTCCTATGTGCTAGACATTATTCTAAGGGCTTTAGGTGCTCTAACTGGTTTAATGCTAAAACAAAGCCTATGACTTAGGGACAGAGTGAGCATTCCTTATTTGAAATGCATGGGAATAGAGATGTTTTGGATTTCAATTTTTTTTAGATTTTGGAATATTTGCTATAATAGATACTTGCTACATAATGAGATATCCTGGGGATGGAACCCAAGTCTAAACATGAAATTTATTTATGTTTTATGTACATCTTATATACATAGCCTGAAAGTAATTTTATTTTCCTCTTGGGGATGCTGAATAAACTATGTGTTTTGCACCTACATTTTGACTGCAACTAGTCACATGAGGTCAGGTGTGAAATTTTCCTCTTGTGGCATTATATGGTGCTCAAAAAGTTTCAGATTTTGTAGAATTTTGGACTTTGGATTAGGTCTGCTTGGCCTGAATTATTATGATGTTCATTTTACAAATGAAAAAACAGAGGCAAAGTAAGATTACATATCTTGTCCACAATCTCACAGCTAGAAAATTGTGGAACCAGGACTTGAAACCAAGCCTTCTGGCTCACAATCCTTGTCATTAATAACCACAGTCAATACTTACTCCTGTAATTATGTTCCACTCTTGTTTAGTCATCAGAATTTTTTATTTAGGAGGAATAAGTGCATATGCTATAAGTATGTTCTAAAGATATCCAGATTGTACTGGTAAAGAAGTGGGAGGCTGTAACAGTAGATATAGGAATGCCCAATTAGCTTTTTTGCTATACTACTTGGAAGTCATTAGCTTTTTAATTGTAATATTCATAGATTTCATTTGTGGGTAGCACCAACAGTGGACAGCAGAGATTTTCTTTACTTCCCCTTTCCCTTCTCCAGGTAAAAACAAACTGAGACATCTGGAAACTCCTTTCTAGGATAAGACATGTTATAAACCTATGAAATTTTGGAGTGGAGAGAAGAAAATTGGCTCGTTTGTTTTTCCCTGTTCCTAATTCTCTCCTCTCTATGCTTTTTGTTCAGTAAAACCTAAGATCTGATATAATTAATAATTGGAAAGAAATCTTCACTGTCGTAGATACATTCGTTCACCTTTTATTTATTTAACAAATATTTATGATACCTACTTCTGTTAGGCTCTGTGTCAGGCTTGGATCCGTAGTGGTGAGGTGAGTTGAGATGAAGAAAATCTGTGGAGAAAAAAAGAAGATGAAAACATGAAACAAACACAGATGTACGCTCATAGGTATGATGTGATTTTTGTATGTATTACTTATACATATACATGCATCTACTTTATATTTACTATATATTTTACATATTTATATATAATTTAAACTTATTCACTTTATGTGCTTATTCTATACATGTTTTACATGTGTATATAGTTACAAATTATCACAAGTGCTATGAAGGAAATGAACAGGTTATTTGACAGATAACAAATTATTAATGATGGGAACTACTAGAAGGGCAACAGTGAGTCCCTGGAAAGAGCCAAGTTAGGAATATTACTTGATTCAAAGAAAAGTGGCAAAGGGGACTTGAACTCCCTGTGCTTCATAGCCTAGCTCCCAGAATCCCTGGTCTGGAATAAAGGAACCACCCAGAGCTGTGTCCTGTGTGGGTGACCAAAATGCCCATGGATGTAGCCATGGGCACAGAGTGAGCACATCAGTGTGCTCATTTTGAAGGAACTAAACATACCAGCACAGATTGGTAAAATCTAGAAGACATTTAGTTTACAAGCCTCTGTTGTGAACATGCCGTGAGGAGATATAAAAGAAAAAGTACCTTTGACTGCAAAGCTCTGAGTCTAATTGGGTAGAATAAACAGATGCATGAGAAATGACACCGGAGGCAATGGACCAAAATGTGCAAAGAGAGCTATTATAAATGGAATAAACAGAGCATGGCTGAGCTCATCCTTTTTAAAGGAAATGAGTTAGAGACATGGCATTTACTTAATTGATGGTGGAGTCAGTGAGAATATATTTAGATGGACACTGAAAATAACAGCTTAAATTTAGGAAGACAAACACAGAGAGAGGATGCAATTTCTAGTGAAAAATAAGGTAAACAAGATAAGGAGTTGAAAAGCTTTGTTCTAAACTTGTTAAAGTGCCTCTGTTCCTCTGAAGTGCCTGTTTACCTTATGTATCAATGATATTCAACAAAGATAAAACTTCTGTGGACAGGGTATAAACACTAGGCATCTTCTGAAATAACAAGTCTGTTACATGTTTGTTAGTAAATATTCCTAGTTCTAAAAATATTTTAAAATAAAAACCTTCTATTTGAAAATCCTAATACTAAAATTTGTCCAGCATGAGAGGCCTTGGAACTTTCAGTGTTGTTCAGAATGAGCTTAACAAATACTATTTGAATGATTTCTAGGTGCCAAGGAAGTTAGTGGACACTAGGAATGCAAAGATAAAACAGTCCTTCCTTTATGGAACTTCAAGTCTAATGTGAAACTGAGAGACAGAGAGAGAGAGAGAGAGAGAGAGAGGTAAATATACCATTTCATAAAACGCTCTATGGAGGCACAAATTGAGGCTACAAATCAATGCTTCCCAGACAGTGACTGGGAGAGTTCAGAGAATACTACTGCAAGGATAGTTACTTGGCTTAGAATTTATAACATAGCAAAAGAAAGTAAAATAAAAAAGATCATTTGGGGAAGAAGGAGCAGTGTAATAGGACGGGTATACAGAAAAATGGTGAAAAAATTTATAAAATACTATTTTTAGAAACTCAGCAAGATCGCAATGTTTCAACATTCAAAGTCCAAAATAAGTTTAACAAATTCATGGAACACACAACCCTACTTTGGCAGCTTTGGATTAAGAATATATTTACAGGATTAATTTAAGCTTTTAAGATACTACGTTGCTTTGTGGCCCAAATTTCCTTCCTCAAAAAAAAAGCATAAGGAATAGAATTTTAGAATGATAATAACTAACAGGTCCATACTTCAGTCCTGCTATTCTCATATGTGGAAATAGATCTGGAGACCCTATCATTCTTTGTGAGTTACTAGAAAGGGCGCTAACATTTGATAGACCAACCACCTATAAATCAGTTCCTTTCAGTGAATTTGAGGGATGTGGCCTGAAGAAGGTTAATAATCGAGTATAATTTTTGAGTGTCTTGTGACACTAATGTTAGCAGAAACATAGAAAAATACTTTCTGCCAACATCTCAGGAATATAGTGCAGACTCAAGGTAGAATCATCATTTAACTAGAGGAGGAGAGCTGTAAAGGGAACAATGATTGCTAGTGTTCATGAACCAGAAATCTCTGGAATCTTCAGGATGGATACGGGAGAGAGAACTGCACTTCTGTTGTTTGCTCAAGAATCCAGTATGGGCAAGTGACCTGTGTCAGACCTTGGGTCAAACAGGGTTCAATTAGGAAAATAGGGTTCAGTTGAAGTAGTTAAAGGACTATAATGCAGGGGCTTAGTTACAGCAAGAAATGGGTAATGAAAGAGACAAGAAACCAATAGAGAAAAGGTTCACTTCTTGTCTCTTTCATTACCCATTTCTTCTCTGAGTTGCTCAACTCAGAAATTAGTAACAGGAGCAAGTCGTAACTAACCCTAAGCTGGAGGGACACAGGACAGGACAAGAAGATGCTTCTATAAATAACACAGGAGCCTTGGATTACCTGCTGGGAACTGGAACTGTGGCAAACTTGAGTCGTGAGAGGCAGAGTGGGGAAAAGATACAGCTGCTGCTGGGGAAGGCGCAGGAGGCAAAGTGAATGTTGGGAAAATAACCTGACTTCTACCTTTTTCTCAATCTCATAGGCTCCTGCCAGGGTACTTACCCCCAAATCCTCATTGGCAGAAGCCAGTTGCAAGCTAGCTGAGACAGCTTTCTGGGAAATGAAACCTCAGGGGTCAGATCTCCCTCCCGCTAACTGAGCCAGAGAAAGGGCAAAAAGTGGATTCAAAGGCAAACATGCCCAGAAACAACACAAAACCCAATAAGGAGAGTTTAGGTTATAGAAATCCCAGGACTATCCTGTGGAATAGGAAGGTCTGTATTCCAAACACTAGGTTCTTAGAACGTTTAAATACATACATACATACACACACACACACACACACACACACACACACACACTATTTATTTCTTGAGAAGGAGTTTTGCACTGTCGCCCAGACTGGAGTGCAGTGGTGCAATTTGGCTCCCTGCAACCTCCACCTACTAGTTTAAGTGATACTCCTGCCTCAGCCTCCCAAGTAGCTGGGGTTACAGGTATGCGCCACCACATCCAGCTAATTTTTTGTATTTTTAGTAGAGACAGGGTTTCACCATGTTGGTCAGGCTGGTCTTGAACTCCTGACCTCAGGTGATCCATCCGCCTTGGTCTCCCAAAGTGTTGGGATTACAGGCATGAGCCAATGTGCTTTGCCTAAATACGTATTTTTAAGACATATTTTTTTTCTGCTTTATGTGACCAGAAGGGCAATGGGAAAAGGGAACGTGTCCATGCACAACCAAAAAATTACTTTTAATTTGGCTAGAAATGCTCATCACAGAAGACAAACTGATTTATTTTTCTCTAAAAGAAATTGCAATGTTAATATCCTATTTTATAAAACTTAGCCTACATGTAAGATTTTTTATTTGTTGAAGTAGTCCATTTCACACATCAGAAAATCCTTGAATTGTCAAAGAAAGGCTTATTTGCCTAAATAACTATGTTGGCCTGACACTGAGATGTGGAGTTTGTTTGAAGTTTTTGTACATTTAGTGACCAGAGGTATTTTGATAAACGCCATTGCCTCAAAGTATTCAGTAGGAAGTTTGGGCCCCATCTGTGTTTGTTTCTGTAGGAGCAGTAACTGCCTAGAGAGAAATCTGATGTTCATTTCAGATATGCAGTATAAACAAAATTCAAGATGATGCCTTTAACATAATTATTCCACCTTTCATTTACATAGTGCTTTATGCATTTCAAAGAGATTTGATGTGATTTCATTTAACGGATCTTTACAAAACTTGTGGAAATTGAGTATGGGCTTCTGAGATATAAAAGCTCAACAAGGAAAATAACACTGAATTTAGGCAGTCTTTTAAGAGAAGATTGTAAAAACCATATAGCCTCATCTCTTGTTGCTACTAATAGAATATACTTATTGAGAACCTTCTCTGGCAGGCACTTTTTTGAGTGCATCATATATATTAACTCATTCATCATCAGAAAAATCCTATGAAGTTCTCATTTTAAGGATAAGAAGACAAAAGGACAGAGAGGTTAATTGACAACTAATAAAAGATTTGAGCCTAGGCAGTCTAACAAAATACTGTGTCTCTTAAGCAGTGTCTTCTTTAAATATTTACTCAGCAAGTAACATCCCTAATTACAGAGACGTATATTTATATTGCGTCTCTTTTTACTTCTAAAATGTGCATGTAACTCAGTGGTGTGCTGGTAAACTGGCTCTCTGCAAAATAATTAAAAAGTCCAGATTTGTAACATTCCCCAATTTCTATGGTATAAGTAGACACACCAGGGTCTACTTCAAGCTACCAAAATGAAGTCATTGAACTTTAGTTGAGAAGAGATGCACACGTTTGGATCCTATGAGCTTGTATGCGCCGGTGCCAGCACATCACTGACTGATTAAAATTACGGTTGTATTCAAGATGACGTATATACCATGCACGTGATGGCCTACTTTTGAAACATTCCTAAAACAGAAATTCTTTAGATTTTCAGCTGTTTTATGCCACCCAATATGAATTAAACTGTTTTAGATATGTTCTTATTTAATCATTGCTTATAAAGAATTATGTAATCATGTTTATTTTGGATTTGTTTTCTCCTGAGGAAAAACAGACTTGTCTAGGGTGAAGCAATCACAAGGCACCTGGAGAAAGGAGTGGGGAAGCCGAAAAAGTGCAACTACTCAAAAGATGGTCCATAGAGAGAGTAGATTACAGGAATCCTGTCCTGTAACAACAGCTTCTGCCCAAGCTCCATCCTCTGGATCTTACCTGTCCCTTTCCTGATACCAAAGTAAGTGGCTGTCATCATTATCAAAGTAGTCTCACACTGAAAATGTTTTTACACATGGATGTCCACAGCTAAGCATTGTAAGATGCCCTCGACTTTTACCCTTATTTTCAAAAGTAGAACAATGAAAATCAAAGCTTTCTATCATCAAGTCACCGTACTATTTTCCCATCTGTGTTTTGTTTTCATTCTTTCTTCTTCTTATTTTCACCCTATGAAACTGTTTCCAAAAGTATTGTAAAATTCCACTGGGAACATATGAACATCTGACATCGTTTCCACGACAACAACCAAAAAGCAAAAGAACCCTGGCTTGACTGGTGCTGGAAAGACATATGCAACATAAGCAAAATAGTTTTTGTGATCTTTTCACTGTGCCTTTAAAGCTCCATTAACACCCCAAACCAAAACAGTGACAAAACAAACGTGTCCTACAAAAAATGTTGGTTAGCAGATAGAGCTTGGGAAAGCTTTGGAAGCCTTTCTCCTGATCATTGGCAGGTTTGGTGACTTCAGTGCTCCCTGTGGAAGGACTGATCTGAGAAGAGTGGTTTACCAGCTGCTGTGGGCATAAACTTAGAACGAGAACTCTCCTGCTGTTAAAAAGGAGCTCTCCTGCAATTCTCATATGCCTTTTCCACCTGTCCTTCCTTCCCTTGTCTTTTTCTTGGAAAGAAAAAACCTAAAAGCTTTCTCCTATAAGCTAATGATTGTGAGTCTTTGTCAGAACATTGGTTCTGGGTCAAGAAACAAATAGATGAACAAACCAAAACTTTCATAGCAAAAGTTCTTAAGCCTTCAAATGGACACCAGTGAAATTTGCCCCACAAGGTGGAATAAATAAAGCAAATAAATCCAAATGTCTAATTCATTCAACAAACAAATATATATTATGCATAGGCTAGTCCACTATGCTAAATATCTAAGAATTCAAATTTGAATAAAACATAAATCCTGCCCTTTGGTAGTTTGCAGCCTAAATTGCATTTATTAGCTGTGATTAGATTTCCTTATTATTGATATTAATATAAATACTATAATATACAAGTTTTCAGGCAAGCTTTCAAACCTGATTTTCATATAGCCATATCACAGATATATTAGAAAATAATTGAACATTTCCAGGTATTTATTGTTTTATTTACTATTCCAGCCCAATCCAATTAGGAATGTGAAATGCAGATAAAAACCTTAAAGATAAAATTTTATTTTGGGCTAAATAAGAAAAAGAAATAAATGTTTCTTTTACTTTCTGTCCACATCTGACCTTCCATTCAAATCCTATCTCTTCTCTAAAGCCATGTTTTTATATCCCAGCCAAAATTAATTTTTAAAATCTGCATAATTAACTTATCAATATGTTACACATATATTTTAATCCCCTGGTTGTTATCCATAGTACACCTCAAAATCACCTGTGGAATTTTAAAAACACACATTTCCAGGTTCTAACCTCAAAACTTACTTAGTCAATGCAGTAGGGTCCTGACATCTGTAGTTTTAAAACACACCATGCATGATGCTGATATGCATACGCAGTTAAGAACCACTGTTCAGATTACACTATAAAATTTGGCATTTTAAAATAGTACACAATCCACATTTGTGGATTTATATTCTTGTATTCCCAAGTGAATTGTAATCATCTTTTGCATATAGGCACAGATTTACATTAACTTTGTTCTTTGCAGTATACAGAACTTACTCTGCACTAGTAAAAATTTCCACACTTTTTATTTGAAAATACGACAAGGAATTTCAACAATCTCTATACAACACTATTATATCTGTTTTTATATTGATATTCTTTATACAGTCGTGGAACAAATTTGATTATCAGCAAATGTTATTTATTCATGTTTAATACTGCTTTTCAGAAAAGTTCCTAAATTATGGTAATTTATAGAGAGTTTCAGAGACAGATGATCTCTCTAGCATAGTGGAGTTAAACTTACATTGGTTCAAATCCAAATTATCTTCTTTTTTGGCCTATGGTAAGGAGAAAAATAGAAGAAAATATGTTTACAAAAATATATAAAGTGCATGCCCTTATTAAGCACTCAATGCACAATAGTTAATATAAACATGAGGTGCTGAGTAAGTCCCTTTGTCCCCAAGAATTTTTCCTAGCATCCAGATTCCATGTCTTATATCCTGATAATCAAGTACTCCTAGAGACAGCTAGGGATAAGAATGTCAGAGCTGGAGAGGCCTGCTGAAACGAGTTAATGCCCCAAGCTTCATTTGTAACCTATGAACCAATTTAGGGCTCATAGTTAAAGCAATCATATACATTCATGGGGTTCAAATGTTCTGCCTTGCACTGCTGTTTTTAGGGTCAGTGATATAACAAAGGGAAAGTCCCAATCTTGCATAAACTAGTCACTCAACAAATCACAGTTATTTTTATTAATATAGTAAAATTAATATCCTGAACTAAAACCCAAATGAATTTTAGTTCACTTCGGTGTTCTTTTCTTGCATCTTAAAATCCACAGTCCTTATAAAAATATAGTTACAACATCTAGGAAGAATAGCAAATGAGAAGTATTGATAATCTTTGAGTGTATTAAAAAAAAACAAAGCTAATTCTATCAGCCAGCAAAGAAGAAGATAGCATAACCATCTTCTGGCACACGATGTTATAAAGTCAGACCTTCGTCTGGATTAAGGTTGGGCCCATTATGTGAGCAGGCCATACTGTTTAACCTCTTTAACTCTTTGTTTCTTCTAATGTAAAATGGGGGAAATAAAATACTTGCCTCACTGGGTTATTATGAAGAATTCATTATACATGAAAGCACTCAAAGTCTCTGACAAATAGCAAGCTTCCAATAAGGTTATTGGTTATTATTGTTGACATGTTATTATTATTTATAGATAAAACTACCATAATTTCTCATCCCTACTGGGACACATCTGAGAGTAAAATGTAGTGCTAATGATTATGACCCTAAAACAACAGGCGTAAACCAGGACGTATGGTCACTTTATACACAGTGTAGTTCGTAACTGACAGTGAATTCCAAAGAGAGTGTTATATTGTACAGGAGAATTTACGTGGAACTCTGAAAAGAGTTTGGAAAGATGTTAAGTATGGATCAGATTCAAGATGGTCATAAAGAGAAGATACTGTTTTCTTCCAAACTCCTCTGAGACAAAATGGAAGGAGGCACAATGTTTCTATAGTATCCATAACTGTTCTCAACTCTTCCCTAAGGTCTTTCTGAATATCAGGTCCTGGGAAATGTACTTTCATTAAAAAAATTACTTAAGTTCTTTTAAGAAAAAATTCCTGAAATATATCTTACACAATTTCCTATCTCATTAAGCAAATGTAAGTGTAATTTATACTCCCCAGGTAGTTATTTTAAAATACAAGAATATACAAGGAAGAAAACAGAAATGTATCTTCCAAATCATCTGTATCTCTGATCAGCCATACGTTTATTTCTCCTTTTGTTTCAGAACAAATTAGAATTAAAGGAAGGAACAAATAATTATAGTCCTATTCTACTGGGTTCTGTTCTACCCTACTCCATTCCATCCCATTTCATTCTACAAAGATTTATTGGAAGTCCCTATATCTTGGCCTTCTCCAGTGAAATTGAACTTCTCCTCTAATAAAAAAAGGTGATACTTGGCAGGATGAGTACAGTCATACTTTAGGCAAAGGCTCGATAAAGAGCCATCATGTATGGTGGATGACATTTCTTCTCCACAGAAACTTTTTGTCCCCCATCCTCCTTACTGTGAAAAACAGTGTGAACATTCATCACATTCTCTGAACAAAATATATTTTTTTATTAGTTGATTATTGCTTTTGTTTTTCTTTGTAATACAGGAATTTATAACCTCATGTTCTGATGAATAAGACACACAGAAATTGTGTGCATATGAAAGTCACCACATTACCACTATGCTGCTACAATGTAGAATAAAACTAAAAGAGTTTCTCACTGGTTTGACATTAATTTAATGTCTCCACTTAGCTTCCATCTGATGCAAACAGCTACTTTATCCATTTAAACATATATGTCTGGGTCCATAATGAAGTGTTCTGTACCTGTCTTGTAAGCAGAGTTCATAAATGAAATCACAAATAGATGAAGGGACTCACCTCCATTGTTAAAAACATTAAACCTCCAAACAGCCAGTCTTGGGTTTATTCCAGTTTTTCGTTTTTCTATCATACATCTTCACCTACAGTCCCAGATGAGCAGAACAGCTTTAAGCATTGTGCAATTACACATACAGGCATCTATAAGGCATTCTCATATTGGATGTCAATCAGTCTCATGGCAAATTTAATAACAGTAGCAGTTGTCAAGCATACCCAAAATAAACTAAATTATCCATCCAACCTTTTGTATTTAAGGGCTTTTTATATTATGTGTTTTAGAAAAACACTTTCACTTTCAGCAGTGTCCTATCTATGATCAGTCTCTCCTGAGAGGTTTTTTAAATAAGATGGAATGATTCACAATTGCTTCACAGAGAATAAAATACCTACGAATCCAACTTACAAGGGACATGAAGGACCTCTTCAAGGAGAACTACAAACCACTGCTCAATGAAATAAAAGAGGATACAAACAAATGGAAGAACATTCCATGCTCATGGGTAGGAAGAATCAATATCGTGAAAATGGCCATACTGCCTAAGGTAATTTATAGATTCAATGCCATCCCCATCAAGCTACCAATGACTTTATTCACAGAATTGGGAAAAGCTACTTTAAAGTTCATATGGAACCAAAAAAGAGCCCGCATCGCCAAGCCAATCCTAAGCCAAAAGAACAAAGCTGGAGGCATCACACTACCTGACTTCAAACTATACTACAATGCTACAGTAACCAAAACAGCATGGTACTGGTACCAAAACAGAGATATAGACAAATGGAACAGAACAGAGCCCTCAGAAATAATGCTGCATATCTACAACTATCTGATCTTTGACAAACCTGAGAAAAACAAGCAATGGGGAAAGGATTCCCTATTTAATAAATGGTGCTGGGAAAACTGTCTAGCCATATGTAGAAAGCTGAAACTGGACCCCTTCCTTACATCTTATACAAAAATTAATTCGAGATGGATTAAAGACTTACATGTTAGACCTAAAACCATAAAAACCCTAGAAGAAAACCTAGGCATTACCATTCAGGACATAGGCATGGGCAAGGACTTCATGTCTAAAACACCAAAAGCAATGGCAACAAAAGCCAAAATTGACAAATGGGATCTAATTAAACTAAAGAGCTTCTGCACAGCAAAAGAAACTACCATCAGAGTGAACAGGCAACCTACAGAATGGGAGAAAATTTTTGCAATGTACTCATCTGACTAAGGGCTAATATCCAGAATCTACAATGAACTCAAACAAATTTACAAGAAAAAAAACAAACAACCCCATCAACAAGTGGGTGAAGGATATGAACAGACACTTCTCAAAAGAAGACATTTATGCAGCCAAAAAACACATGAAAAAATGCTCATCATCACTGGCCATCAGAGAAATGCAAATCAAAACCACAATGAGGTACCATCTCACACCAGTTAGAATGGCGATCATTAAAAAGTCAGGAAACAACAGGTGCTGGAGAGGATGTGGAGAAATAGGAACACTTTTACACTGTTGGTGGGACTGTAAACTAGTTCAACCATTGTGGAAGTCAGTGTGGTGATTCCTCAGGGATCTAGAACTAGAAATACCATTTGACCCAGCCATCCCATTACTGGGTATATACCCAAAGGATTATAAATCATGCTGCTATAAAGACACATGCACACGTATGTTTATAGCGGCACTATTCACAATAGCAAAGACTTGGAACCAACCTAAATGTCCAACAATGATAGACTGGATGAAGAAAATGTGGCACAAATACACCACGGAATACTATGCAGCCATAAAAAATGATGAGTTCATGTCCTTTGTAGGGACATGGATGAAACTGGAAACCATCATTCTAAGCAAACTATCGCAAGGACAAAAAACCAAACGCCGCGTGTTCTCACTCATAGGTGGGAATTGAACAAGGAGAACACCTGGACACAGGAAGGGGAACATCACACACCAGGGCCTGTTGTGGGGTGGGGGGAGGGGGGAGGGATTGCATTAGGAGATATACCTAATGCTAAATGATGAGTTAATGGATGCAGCACACCAACATGGCACATGTATACATATGTAACAAACCTGCACATTGTGCACATGTACCCTAAAACTTAAAGTATAATAATAATAAAATTAAATTAAAAAAATAAAAATAAAAATAAAATACGATTGAAGATAATGACAAACATTAGTCATTACCATTAGCATAAGGCATGAGACACCATATATATATATATATATATATATATGCAGCTGGGACATGGCAGTAGAAATCTGACTACCTATGGCTTGGGCAAGCTTCTGACTACCGCTGACCATTATTTTGTAAAGTGAAACTGGTTAAGTCTGGTAGCAGTATCCTTAATGGCACGTGTATCATAAGACCTTATTGTTTTCCACCACACGGTATGGAGCTTAATGTCCTCTATTAACTGAAAACAAACAGTTATACTGCTTAATGACTGTTCAATTAATGTTTATGTGCTACTTTTACACCCTGAATTATTTGATGAATAAACTTTAAGATGTCACTTGAAAACTAAGTTTAATGAAACCTCAACTACTATTAAAAATTCCTGGGATTCTTATAGTATCTCACATTATCAGTTAGGGAGTAAAGAGCATATATCAATATTCAAAAATGTACACTCATGTAAAAATGAAAGAAAAATCAAAAGTTTGGAAAGAATTGATGTATGTGGCTTGACTCTTGCTGCCTTGTAATTGAAAATCAAAACAGGGTTAAAATAGAAATAACCGGGTCAAACCAGTCAAAGGTGAAACTTGGTTTATTATACCAGAAAGGCTTAACCTTTGTATTTCAATTGTTTTCTGAACTTGTAACACCACACTTACTGATCTTTCTACTTTTCTTATATAAAAGCTAGCATTTTAAAAGTACAAGCAGATTAGATGTTTTAATTCAACACCCTTCCTTGGGTAGAAGTTTTATAAAATTACTGAAAATATAGTATCAATGGAAGGTTGACATATTTGAATTTATGAGAAAAAATGACTTCTGAATTTTGTAGCATTTTGGATATAGCAGTATTATATTTATCCATTGTTATTCATTCTAATATATCCAAATACTGGGAAAATTAGTTAACAATACCCCTTATTGTCCCAAATTTAGTTGGGAATCATCTGACATAGGAAAAAAACAACAACAAGAACTGAGGAAAAGACAGTGCCCATTTCCTTTTGGAAAACAGGCATCCTTTAACACCATGCATGGTATTTGCAAATCCTGATGTATACATATTTTAACAGAACTGTAGCCATCTTCTCCTTCCTGTACTGTGGTTTTACAGATCAACATTAGGTTCATAAACACGGACAAATTAGATGCAAGTTTAAGAGATGTCAAGCCTTCTTGATAACTTCCTGCTAAGAACACAACTGGAAAATGACAAATTTATCATATACCTGATGGGTAGAAGAAGTTTAAAGTTGACTGCTTTTGATTACAAAGCAATGAGTTTTTCATTCTTTAGTATATTTTGCATTTCTTAAACACTGTTTCACTGAAATATATTTGGTTAAATTGATTTGAATTTGATTAGTTTAGCACTATAGTTTTAATATCTGTAATAAATAAAGGTGTGTCTATGGTGTTACAACACATTAAAAATATTTTGGCTGAGCAATTAACTTACTTCTAATTTTTAAATATATACCTATTGGATATTAACACAATTTATTTGTAATTTAAAAGATATACTTTTTCTAATTCTACATATTGTTAGCTAATATAATTCATGCTCTAATTCATGTCTAGTCTATTTTTGATGTTACATAAAAATTTGTGTTTGGTATGCATTTCATAAAGGAGTTGAATTATAAATTCTAATTTTACTTCCAATTAAAAATAAATATAGTATGTTTCTCCAGTTATTTTATAGCTAATTTTCATATGTCAGAAATTAAAATAGAAGAAAATATTTTAGGAAATAGAGTATTGGACATACGGTTTAGGTATTATCATGTTAATATAGGACATAAATCACTGGTTTTAAATGTTGCCAGAAGTATTAGGAAATATTTAAGTGTTTTACTACAATGTAAGGGTATATTTTTAAGTGTAAGAGGAGTTGCATCACTTATAAGTAATGCTTGCATTCTCAGAAAAACCAGGGAGAAGAAAGAGTTAACAGGTTGTTGGCTAATTCTGGCAAGTGTCCTATTTGAATAGATGATCAGTTCAATAGATAATACTTATTTCTAAACTTTACTGGCTTAATGTAGAAAAAAATAAACTTTCAAAACTGTGTAATCAATAAAATTAGAAGGTTGGTAAGTATATGATATAGAAAATAGAAAAATTACATAAATAATGTTCTATTAAAGTCTGAAATACAATCTTATTCATTTATGTAAGTAAGTGCTGGTAAAATCTGAATATCTTTTGAAGGAAAAAAAAATCCAGAATTAAATGTATTACAAAACTGATGTTCTGTGTAATATAAAGAATACTTTAATTTTTAATTATAAAGATTATTCACAGTTTTTACTCTAATAATTTAATTTTGAAATTTAATTCCATCATAATGAATAGTTATCAACAAATTAATAGATGGTGCTTAGTTCTGAAATTTCTGTTCTCAAGTTATAGTTTCACATTTTATACATTGAAAATAATTTTAAAAAACTATTATACTTAGGAACCAAAAGTCTGACAAGTTGAATAGTTATATTTTGATGTTGCTTATGATTTTATTAAGATCAAAACTATTAGTCATATATACAAATCACTTGAGAAGTGAGATATGTGTTATTTCTGTTACTTGATAAGTCTATGAATTGACTAAATGCAGCTGTAAAACATTAATGCTATCATAGCATTATTTTGAGAAAGAAGGTATACTTCTATTGCAACAAAATAAATCCTACTTGGAAAATAAATACAATAGAGCACTTATGTCTTCACATTTCTAAAAACATATCCAGAGAATAAAATAATGCCTAAATATTTACCAAATATCATTATCAAATAATTTAGCTTTATAAATAAATACACATTCTAGAAACATTCTTTAGCATGTAAAATATTATTATAGTATTTTTGCTGTGGACATTGTAGACATACTTGAAGTTATTTTTCATTTACACTGTGTTTCTAGACCCTTCCTTCTACGTTGCAGGATGAGAATAGGTGGTGGGGGAAATTTTATTACCAAATATATATATTTGTTTCACAATTTGCAACTTAGGGTCCACTTCCTAATACAAAAGTGCATTTCCTGATTCTTGCAGTTAACCAGAAATCTGTCTGCTTCTGAGTACACCAGACCCTGAAGTGTACAGCACAGTGGAACTATCTGACCACAGGAATGAAAATTCAGAAACTTGTGTCGAATTTGAAAATAGAGTAAGCCTAAGACTTTGAAATATGTTGCTTTTATATTGAAAAAGCTTTTTTTCTTATTAAACAATATAATACAGCAAATTAATTGTAAAACACTAAACTCTCTAATTATTTGCCATGTATTGCTTCAACAATGGTTTTGTGACAAATAGGTATTTCTGGGTCCTTGCAATGCACTTTAGCAATAAAGGTGGACAGAGATAAATTAGATCAAATAGTAGAATCCTCCAGATGGCTACACTTTCATGGAAGAAGCCCAAGTCTCTGAACTGCTAAATGAAATTGTTTAGTAAATTAAATTAAGATCAACTGCTGACCTGTTTAATTTAGACACAAACCTTCTGGGTTTTTTTTTTTTTTTTCTCAAAAGAAGGATTCTTGGTTGAAAATTAGAAAACTTCTGTGAATGTTCTGGCTTTTGCAAACCAAACAAAAATTAGACTTTTAAACTCATTTAAAAACGTCAATTATCCAATAGCCGCAAAGTACTTTTTTTTTTTTTTAAGATGGAAGGACAAATGTAAGGAAGTATATAAAAATAATGACAAAAGTTATGTTAATTTTTATCTAGTGGTAGAATAACAACTATATTCTCTTTTTTTAATGAAGTTCTTGTAATAGTAGATCCTAAAGAAATGAAATCACAATTCTGATATTTTAAACATAAATTAGAATGTTTCCATTTATTTATGACTGTCTCACATTTTTAATTAATTTCAATTCTATTCTTCCCCAGCTAAAGTTTTATGCAATTTATCAAAAATCATAAACAGTACATAAGAAGTATTTTAAGACCAGAAAAGATGGAAGCATATTGATATTTATTCATTTAATTAAATTTGAAAAATGTCTCTCTTCAACTTGGACCAATATACCAGTTAAGAAAAAAACCATTAAGCCTTTTCCTAAGAGGGCTCCAATTTTTGCATCAGAAAGGTAAAGCCTGGCTGCTTTTCTGCAAAATATTTCTTCGTCATCTTTAAACCAAGATACTGCAGTTGATGTCATTTTTCCTTATGTGACAGCTAGCAATATATTTAGCACAGCAGACTATTTGGCATTCACTGAATATTTTTTAACTAAATTGTCATGAGGCTACTTTCTTCTGAACCTACTTCATTTAGTCACAGGCTAGCATTACTAGCATTATTTGCAGGGTGAAGTGTTTTCTTGGGTGATACAATGAAATGGTAGAATTAGTGATGGAAAATTATGTGGATTCAATAAATCATTTGAATATTACTTAAAATATTCAAATATCTTGGAATTAAATCCTGAGAAAATTAGTGGTTATCTCCTACTTCTGAGGAATCAAATAAACTCATCACTAAGTTTTACCTATGAGTAATTAAGTTTTTAAAATACTCTATGCTAGGTATTTCCTATTAATCTAAATATAACAAATAAAAAATGCATTTTTATCGAGAACTTTATATTGTTAAGGCTTGCAAGAGGGTCTATTTTTTACCTCACAATATATAGTATTATATACCAAAATACAGAACTCTTAAAATGTAGGTTCAAAAACACTGTCTCTCAAACATCAATATATTTATAAAATAGTGTGGTAAAATGACTTTGGTATACCTTTGGCATGCATAGATTTAGTAGTCCTATTTTTTAATATCTCTGGACAAATCTTAAGGTGCATAATATGCAGTATTTATAATTTTCTAAAAATACAAATTTTATTTAACAGACAAGTGAGAGGCTGGTATAAATTTTTATTCTTTACCTAACACTGGACACAGACATTTTCCAAAATGATAAAAGAAAAATCTGCTGGTGGAAGTAAAAGGAAAGTGTGTAATGGTCTAAGAAAGTAATTATTCTGAGACAGAAAAAAGAAGCTCCAGATGTATTCAGGAGTTGAATGTTCTTTTTTCACTGTAAAGGGAATGCATATTTTAAGTATCTAACGTTATTGTTTTATGTGATAAACAGTACAAGATGGCAATTTATGAGAATTATTAGATCTCAGGACATTACATTCCCTAAAGGATGTAAGGAGAGGTGTATCTTTTGTTTTTCACATTACTATCTGTTTAATCCCAGCACTTCTAATGGATATCAGCTTTTAAGCTACATTCTTTTTCTTTCCAAATCTTTTTCCTTGTTTTTATATTCACCTTCACTTTGGTATCCTATTACTAAATATAATAAGGTATAAAATATATTTTAGTAGTGGGTATCATCAGATTGGAAAAGAGATAAATGGAAAACTCCATTTTATTTTTGCAGTCACACAGACTGGGACAAATCAATACAATACAGGATGCTGTTAGTAAACAAATAAGTAACCATGACTATTTTTCTAGAGGGACAATTTCCCATTTATTTTCATTTTTCATGGAGATTTTATGTTATTATATTGTTTAGGATATCTCAACCTCCACAAAGCCTAAATTCTATACTTAGATACACATAGCTTCCATTTAATCAATGGTAAATAGGCAAATATAGACAGGCATAATATACATGATGATTAGGGTTACTGTACAGGACTCAATATCTTGAGCCAATATCAACTTTATACTTAGGGTTGTTGAGAAAATAAATGAAATAATTCTCAAAAACACAACAGTCTTGACAGGTAGTATGCACTTAATTATTTAAAATGTCTTTTTCTTCAGATTATTATTATTACGGAAACAATTGTTAGTCTCACTTTCATTTTTACCCCTGACTCTTTCATTGTAAACAATATATATGCAACATCATTGTAAGGATTCTTATATATAAACATACCTTATAGTACCTATTATAAATACATCCAATATATATTTGCTTATAAATATAATGATGATTTCTTAACAACTTCTAAAGGCTACATTAGCTAAATATTTTAAAGAGAACATTATAAAAATGTTTAAGGTGTTTAAATGTTAAATATATTTAAACATATTAATATGTTTATAGACTTAATTTTTATTTACACGTTTGATATATATCTTGGATATTTTAAAGTAAAAATGTTAGCCCAAGAAAAAATAACTAACTTGGGGAAGATATTTACTAAACTTGGGAGAATATACACAAACCTGCATGATTTTAATTAACATAGCTCATAATTCTATGAGTATGTACTATTATTATCACCATTTTACCTATAAGAAATTTAAGCTTGAAAAGATAAAGATATTTTGCTCACACTCTAGAGTGTGTACTATGGATTAGTTCCATAGTACATGATACAACTTTAATCATCCCCGCATACACAAATCAACCTATTGGAAATGGGTATTAGCTTATTTTTCACTAAGAAACAAAATTCAGCTCACTTCTGAAAATTGAAATTGCATATATTTACACACCAGAATCCCACTTCAAATAAATAAATAACAAACAGCTGAAGAATGGAGGAGGAAATGAAGGAAAGAAAGACAAAGAAATAGAAAAGAACTATAAACCAATCTATTAACAGCTATCTCTGAGGAGTAGGATTATACATTTCTTATTTTTAAACTACATATTTACTTTACATACTATTTTTGTTTACCTTGAGAATGGACTACTTTGTAATCATAGTTGACAATGTAAAAACAAAGAAGCCCTCCAAAAGTACTAAGTTCCCATTAATTCTGTCAAATCCTAAGACAATCATTATTTGTACCTGAATTACTCACTAGAAACAAAAAAATCTTTAAAAAGTTATGCCAATTTGTGCTTCATTAAAGGTTATCAGGTGATAAAAGGATTCCAGAGAAGTTTCTCTGATGAAATGTGATATTACTTATTTTACAAATTATTGCCTTACAAGAAAGCATAAAGCAGCATATCTACATAAATTCTAAATAATTATTTACTGGTCAATAAATTAATTTATACTCATAAACCCCTAACAAGAAAGTTAAAAGACACAGTTTAAAAATTCAACATTAATTTCATTTTAAAGAATATCTTCAAGCAACATATAATTATAATTTTCCCTGTTTAAAGATATTTAAAACTGCCTTCATTCCAGTCACAGACTTTATTTAATGGTCTTTGTAAATTCCGTAAATAAGTGTTCATTTCTAATTTTAAAGTTTATACTTTGAAAAAATTACAGAAGTTGGACAAATCAGAGATGTTTGCTCATCTAGTTCATCCTCTTATACTTTATAGATAAGAAATCAAAATTTTATGAACAGAGATTACATATTAATGTTAACAGTTGTTATTTTTCCATTTTCATTAAATATATTTCTCTTTCCTTTTATAATTTCTGGTTTACAATGGACACGTATTGGTTTCATAATTAACTCAATAAACATTTCTCATTGTAGGAGCTCTGTTGAATAGATTGGACACTGCACTCTCCCACATAGCTGTCAATTGCCTTTCTCTTTGTCTTCTCATTTCCCCATATGGTATTGCGAAAATGACACAAGACACTGAGAAGATAGGAGCATGATGACATTACAGTAGTTGAAAAATTTCATCATGTCTAAAAAAGTAGACTGTGAATTTAGAGGATACGAAATATGGTGTACCATTGTGAGACAAAAGACAATGAGACAGAAGAGAGGGAAAACAGTAGAACGTTTTTCTACTGATGTAAGTCATCCTGAGAGGCATCAAGATGATAGAAAACCTGTGAGATCAAGCATCTCCAATTTTCTCCTGGGTATAGATCCTTCACTATATTCCATGGTGAAGTATGAAGCATCGTGGAACAGGAACTTAAGATTAGTGTTCAGTAACTAGTTGCCAATTTTTAAGTTGGTTCATTCTGTATTTTTTTGTGTTTGGGTATAAAGAAAGATAAGCCAGCTGTTGTTAGGGCAACTGGTAGTATATGAATCAGACAACTATTTCTCCTGTTTTCTCAATTCCTCTCATAATAAAGTGTAAGAGACTGAGAAAACAACATATCAAGTAGAGTGACTTTCTCCAATGCACACTGTAAATATTCTTTTGAATAACAATTAATAATTTCTACATAAAGAGACTAAGAAACTAATTTTAATGATGGATTTGGAAAACTGGTACCTGTTACCAAAAACAGCTATCTTATTGTTACCTCAGATATTTAATTGGAAACTAGAATTTAACTAGAATTTTGCCAAATGTTACACATTATATCGACAACAGGAAATGCCTTTTAAAAATATTTAACACTGAATGGTATCTTCACTTGGGTTCTTAACACATGACTGCATGGCTTATACAAGTATATTTCTAGTTTGAAATTGACCCTTATTCTTTTTTTAAATTTATTTATTTATGATTATTATACCTTAAGTTTTAGGGTACATGTGCACAATGTGAAGGTTAGTTACATATGTATACATGTGCCATGCTGTGTGCTGCACCCACTAACTCGTCATCTAGCATTAGGTATATCTCCTAATGCTATCCCTGCCCCCTCCCCCAACCCCACAACAGTCCCCAGAGTGTGATGTTCCCCTTCCTGTGTCCATGTGTTCTCTTGTTCAATTCCCACCTATGAGTGAGAATATGCGGTGTTTGGTTTTTTGTTCTTGGGATAGTTTACTGAGAATGATGATTTCCAATTTCATCCATGTCCCTACAAAGGACATGAACTCATCATTTTTTATGGCTGCATAGTATTCCATGGTGTATATGTGCCACATTTTCTTAATCCAGTCTATCATTGTTGGACATTTGGGTTGGTTCCAAGTCTTTGCTAATGTGAATAATGCCGCAATAAACATACGTGTGCATGTGTCTTTATAGCAGCATGATTTATAGTCCTTTGGGTATAAACCCAGTAATGGGATGGCTGGGTCAAATGGTATTTCTAGTTCTAGATCCCTGAGGAATCACCACACTGACTTCCACAATGGCTGAACTAGTTTACAGTCCCACCAACAGTGTAAAAGTGTTCCTATTTCTCCACATCCTCTCCAGCACCTGTAGTTTCCTGACTTTTCAATGATTGCCATTCTAACTGGTGTGAGATGGTATCTCATTGTGGTTTTGATTTGCATTTCTCTGATGGCCAGTGATGGTGAGCATTTTTTCATGTGTCTTTTGGCTGCATAAATGTCTTCTTTTGAGAAGTGTCTGTTCATGTCCTTTGCCCACTTTTTGATGGGGTTGTGTGTTTTTTTCTTGTAAATTTGTTTGAGTTCATTGTAGATTCTGGATATTAGCCCTTTGTCAGATGAGTAGGTTGCGAAAATTTTCTCCCATTTTGTAGGTTGCCTGTTCACTCTGATGGTAGTTTCTTTTGCTGTGCAGAAGCTCTTTAGTTTAATTAGATCCCATTTGTCAATTTTGGCTTTTGTTGCCATTGCTTTTGGTGTTTTAGACATGAAGCCCTTGCCCATGCCTATGTCCTGAATGGTAATGCCTAGGTTTTCTTCTAGGGTTTTTATGGTTTTAGGTCTAAGGTTTAAGTCTTTAATCCATCTTGAATTGATTTTTGTATAAGGTGTAAGGAAGGGATCCAGTTTCAGCTTTCTACATATGGCTAGCCAGTTTTCCCAGCACCATTTATTAAATAGGGAATCCTTCCCCCATTGCTTGTTTTTCTCAGGTTTGTCAAAGATCAGATAGTTGTAGATATGTGGTGTTATTTCTGAGGGCTCTGTTCTGTTCTATTGATCTATATCTCTGTTTTGGTACCAGTACCATGCTGTTTTGGTTACTGTAGCCTTGTAGTATAGTTTGAAGTCAGATAGTGTGATGCCTCCCGCTATGACAAACCCACAGTCAATATCATACTGAATGGACAAAAACTAGAAGCATTCCCTTTGAAAACTGGCACAAGACAGGGATGCCCTCTCTCACCACTCCTATTCAACATAGTGTTGGAAGTTCTGGCCAGGGCAATTAGGCAGGAGAAGGAAATGAAGGGTATTCAAATAGGAAAAGAGGAAGTCAAATTGTCCCTGTTTGCAGACGACATGATTGTATATCTAGAAAACCCCATCGTCTCAGCCCAAAATCTCCTTAAGCTGATAAGCAACTTCAGCAAAGTCTCAGGATACAAAATCAATGTACAAAAATCACAAGCATTCTTATACACCAACAACAGACAAACAGAGAGCCAAATCATGAGTGAACTCCCATTCACAATTGCTTCAAAGAGAATAAAATACCTAGGAATCCAACTTACAAGGGACGTGAAGGACCTCTTCAAGGAGAACTACAAACCACTGCTCAAGGAAATAAAAGAGGATACAAACAAATGGAAGAACATTCCATGCTCATGGGTAGGAAGAATCAATATCGTGAAAATGGCCATACTGCCCAAGGTAATTTACAGATTCAATGCCATCCCCATCAAGCTACCAATGACTTTCTTCACAGAATTGGAAAAAACTACTTTAAAGTTCATATGGAACCAAAAAAGAGCCCGCATCGCCAAGTCAATCCTGAGCCAGAAGACCCTTATTCTTTAAAGCAGAGTTTTGATCTACAGATTGACGAATAAAAGCTTGAAGTTGCTTTCATGCTTATTTAATCATGTGAGTGGTTTTCTTAAATGTGAAAATGGAATTTAGATTATAAATGAATTCATTTGTTCCACCAATGACTGTAGTCATGCTTTGTGGCAAGTGTGGAATACTTTCATCTATGTTTTTCTATGATGAAATCAGAATGATGAATGGGGAAAGATCAAAGTAAAATGACTGACTTCAAGTTAAGATGTTTTGTCATATCATTTTTTACATCAATATTCTTCATATTGCTGCAGAACAGAAATTATGTCAAGGCTACCTGGAATTCTGTCTCCTCTTTTTGATCAAATTTATTCAGTTAGAAAACTCCACAGTATTTTGGAAAATGTGTGGGTTATCAAACTTTGTTTTAAATTTTGGCTTTGCTATACATCTTAGCAGTGTGACACTACTTCCTCTTCTGTAAAATGAGTTTAATTATACTTCATTTGCATTCTTGTTCAAAGAATTACAGATGCTTCAAGTAAGTTTTTATGTGAAAATTCTAGTAACTTGTCCAGCATATATGCTCAAAAACCAGAAGATTCCACTATCATTATTGTTATTAATGCTATATACCCTTATATCAATCATAAATCATGTAATCAACTTTAACAACTACTATACAATTCAGTATTTTCAATCATTTACTTACTACATGATTTTTTTGCAGTAAAAGTTAAACATTGTTTTAGCAACAGGCCTTTTGATACTGAAACTTTGTATGTGATACTCAGCCAGCTCAAATTACTGATCACTTTTCTCTCTTCCCTTTAGAAACAAGACAAAACAACCCTACAAACTTCGGTATTACATGAACGAAAATATAGAGAGAATGATATAAGGAGTAACATTTTAAAATTTTATTTATTGTTATGTAATAGAGTACATATTTTTGGAGTACAGGTGATAATCTAATATGTTCGTATAATTTGTAAAGATCAAATCAGTGTAATTGGGATGTCCACCACCTTAAATATTTGTCTCTATTTATGCAAGAAATGTTTGAATTAATCTCTTCCAGCTACTTTGAAATGTATGATAGATTATTATGAACCACAGTCACCCTACTGATCTATCAAACACTTGGTCTTATTTCTTCTAACTATATATTTTTACTCATTAGTCAAACTTAAAAAGTTACATTTTAAAAAAGCATTGTAGCTTTTAAAATACTAGTCTATATATTTTCATGTAAAGACCTAAAAGAACAAGAGTAATCATTTAATAACATAGTTTTAAAAATAATTTCCTTTCAAAGAATTCTTGATAACCTTTCATATGTCATTTTGTGACAACTTTATTTAAAAACTGTTAGTGCTTCAACTGTTATTAAGCTAAATGGTCACAGTTCTATTAATACGGTATACTAAAAGTGAAAATTATCTAAATATTACACTAAATATTATCTAAATATCATTTTGTGACAACTTTATTTAAAAACTGTTAGTGCTTCAACGGTTATTAAGCTAAATGGTCACAGTTCCATTAATACTGTATACTAAAAGTGAAAATTATCTAAATATACATTAAATATTATCTAAATATTACATAGTGACCTCAGGGCACTATAAGACCTCAGGACACCACTATTCAGTTTCCTAAATGGCATCAAATTGATTCTGATGTAATCATATTTGAGTTCAGTAATACTTTTTGTTGCCCAGATATTAGTAGGCACAAATAATTTATTCTTAATTTTATTATTACTAAAATACTTTGTTTAGTTAGTCTGATTGTCTAGTTTTTAGCTAATCTGATTTGTTTATTTAATTTGATTTTTCAGTGAGGTTTCCAGTTGTTATGGGATCATCTAACCAAGAGTTAGAGCATTATCTGAAAATATACATAGACCACGCATACAGATAACTTTAAAATATGCTTAGGCTGCACTATTATCTAAAAACCTTAAAATGCCATGCAAGTTTGTGTCACTTGCATGAGGTGGATGTCAGACATGATGTTTGACAACTTTGGGAGCCATCACATTGAAGATCATGAGGGCAGACATGATGCCATGAACCCATATGGGACCAGCATTGTTTCCTGATACTGACAAGAGAAGGCATCCTCTGTTCGTGCATATGCTTGCCAGTTAGGACTACTTGCTGATGGTTTTTGTTCAAATAAAAGTTGCCACTAAAAGGATACTAACTTAAAGAAATTATCACTCTCTGTCTCTGGAGAAGCCTAGCATATTCATTTATGATTATTTTAAGAGTGAGGCAAGTTATGACTTGCCTATAAATGTCTCTGCTATATATAATTATATTTTTCTAAACCTTAACTTGATTTCAAACTTAAGTCTCCATTCCGCTGAGTGCAGAAAAATCATCCCAGCCAATTCAGATTAATTTTGATCAGAAGTTCCTTTGTCAGGGATTTATTTTTCCCCTTCTCTTTTTCCTGGCTTGGATTTAAGTTCTGGAGGCACTGGTGGCAGGGAGCAGCTGATCTTCTCACCTTTCCATGTTATTGTGTCCACTGACAACATCTGCATCCTGGCCAGCACTGGTCTATGTTGAAGCTACTGCATCCTCCCTGCCTTCCTGTGAAAGCAATTGTGTGTGCAGTTTTCTCTGCCAGACTTGCTTCACTCTTGCTAGTGCAGTGAAACATCCTATAGATACTTCTACAGGATTGCGCCTCACACAGAGTGGTGTGGACAACTCTGTGAGGCTTGCTGCCTCCCAGACTCCCCTTTAGTCAGAGGTCCTCTCTGTGTTCCAAACCCATCTGAGGCTTTTATTGGATAAGTGACACAGTGTATAGAACCCATATTAAAGGCCATGCTAATATTTTAGATATTGCTGCCTCTTGAGCTCTCTTCTGAGCCTGGACAACCTTTATCTTGCAGACATATGTAGGTAGGTAGTAGAAGTCTTTTATATCTACTGTTTAATGCATAAACTTTATGTTCAAAGTAAATCAGGCTTACGTTACTCAAAATGAAGTTATCTGAAAATCAAAATTCCCTTTCTTGCAAATCATTGTTTTTGTACTTAAAAATAATGTTCTCTTTTCTTGTTCAACACTAATTTTTCTGCTGCGATAACCCTGCCCTGAGTTAATGCATATAAAGATCTAGTCTGAATGGTGAGAGAGTCATAGGTTTATAAGACCACAACAACAATCAAATAATTACAGTGAATAAAAAGTCATATTGATTAACACATCAAAAGAATAACAACCTATAGCTGGTTGTTCTTTCATTGCTTTATCAGATCAAGCCCACTGTTTGAAATGGATAAAAGAGAATAATGAGTAGGATGTCTGGGTGAGAGATTCTTTTTCCTCTTGCTTTACAAAAATAGTGACAATTTTTATACTCAAATATATATGAAATGTTACTGATAAGTAAAATTTCAGAATTTAACTCTGTAATTTTTGATGTGCAATCTTGCAGAGAAAAGAACTTTAGTTGAAGCAATACAGTATCAAATAATTGTTTTAAGAGTTTGAATTTTAGAAAAGCTGTCTCAGGTGAAGGGGCAGTTAGTAATGATAAAATTGACTAAATGTGAGGTTTATCTTGTCTTACGGGGGTAGTTTTATTAGGAACAGCACTCATTCTTTACTTCAAACCTGTAATAGCTTCTTCTTCCTTTTCCTTATAAAATTTGAACAATTCAACACAGCACTTAGTGACAACTGGGAACTGACTTGAACCCATAGTATTTTCAGGCTTTGCCTTTTCTCTGTGTACTTTTGTAAGTCTGCCCCTCAGGGCCCACTGGGCTTCTGCTTTCCTCTCAAACACATTGAATTTTTCCAGCTGCACAAACTGAGACAGCCTATTCCCCTCACCAGGAGGTGTTGCCTTCCTCACAGCGAATGAGCTACTCCTTTCCTTCCACTCCACCTCATATCTCTCTCAGTCTCTGTCACTGCCCCCTTTTCCCCCATCATAAGGAATCTCCAGGCTCTCTCATAGCTCTCCTACAGCCGATCATTAAAGTTAACATATATTATGGATATTTATGTAGTAAAAACAGGACTAGACACAGAAGATTAAAACTTGGGGTTTAAAACCCTGCTTTAAACATCAGACCAAGTCGATCATTAAAGTTAACATATATTATGGATATTTATGTAGTAAAAACAGAACTAGACACAGAAGATTAAAACTTGGGGTTTAAAACCCTGCGTTAAACATCACACTAAGTCATTTCAGTTCTTTGAGCATCAGCTCAGCCTGTGGATTTCATAACTGTCCCTGCACTCTTTTCAGTTGAAGTTTATTGGCTAAAGTTTTCAACTTCTCGTGTACGGAAACCAAGTCTCAATTTCAAACAGCGATTTTACTCCGTAACTATCTGCTAAATAAAATGGAATGCTGGATGAGAAGCAAAAAGCTTACTGATCAGTCTAATGGGATAACTGGGGAAAATAATGGTAATGTTTAGTTATTTTATTTTATTCTTATTGACAAGGGATAGGTAAGGAGTTGGTCAGGGACTACCCTGTCCCTTCCCTTTATTTTAGCCAATGATTGTGAGTTCCTTCTCCTATAACCAAGTTTTATTGCGCTTTCTTTGTAAAACTAAGGAGAGGTAGAATATAGTAGTTCATAGCAAAGAAAAAGGCAGAAGATTAACTACTAATTCACAATTCACTTGACAAGCTTCTGATTAAATTCACAAAGTCTTGCCAGGTAAATACTAAATCATGCCACTTTATTTCAAAGAGGACAAAAAATACTTCAATTTCTTGACAACAACCTAAGCCTTTTCAGTAGTTCAACAAGTGGCATTAGGTGTTTTAGCTCATCACTATAGCTTCACGTTTTATCATGGGTTCATGCTGATGAGATTATCTATTTCAAATAAGACAAAAAATAAGCTTACCTCCATCCTTCTTAGCAAATCACATCGGTTATTCAATTATGTGTTCTTTGTTTGTGGGTACCTGAAATAATGAGAAGGAATAGAAAAAGAAAATTAAATATAACTCAACAGCATTTTGTAAAAGGCAAATATTTACAATTTTAATTGATGACAGACACACACTTCATAATACGATTAGCATGCAACTCCAGCTGCAAAAACTGAACAGCAATATGCCTAAGCTGGTTAGCAGCAAAAAAGTAAACCAATCACATCGACAAAAAGCCACCATAAACAAAAAAACTGTATTTAAAAGATTAACAGTTTTGGCATTCATCCCTAGCATCAAGTCTTTCACTTTCTTTTTTTCCATCAAAATTTAGCTTACATTTGAAGTTAGCAAGAGTTGCATTACTATTATTGTTAATTTTAGTTCTGTTTATTGCCTTGAGGGTTATATAATGTCAAATAATTTTGGTGCCTCTAGTTAATTTTAATTAGTTGTTTTAATAGCCTATAGACCTATTTGTTATATTTTTGTAGGTTTACTTTTTTAACTATCAGGAACTTAATAACTGAGAATATTTAACATTACTGTTGCATAGGCAAAATTACAGAGTTACTATTAGTGTTACCTGTTTAACGTTTAGTCATCCTTTGAGTCCTGCGACATATTTCCTTAATAATCATCAGCCATCAAGTCTGATAGTCTCAAAAGAAATATCAGCCCTCTAAACTGCCTTCTAGGGCGGTGATATTTAGCACTGAAAATTACAAATAAAGTTTTTGAGGTTGAATAGCAACAACTGGCCAGTGACACTGATGATTTGTTTGTCAAAACAAATTGTTATAAACTACGCGAATGAAGTCCACGCACTCCTTTGAGTGAAAACAATAAAGTGAATCTACGCAATGCTTACATGTTGGATGGGATATTTAATGTGCGGGGAAACTCAAAGGTTGAAGAACTAGGCATTTAGACAGTGGTAAGTGGTAATCTTACCTCTTTATACTCCATTACTCTTTCTCACGAGAGACATGCTAATGCAAACAAGTCAATCAGAATTTGTGTTTAGCAAGATAAAGCTTAGAGGATAGTTTAAAATCCATTTATTATTCTAAATCCATTTTTTTCCATTAACATGTTATACATTAGTGTTTACTAACCATGATTCATGTAACAGTTTAGTTTGTTAACTTTTAAATTATTTAACAACCATAAGTTATTAATACATTTTTAAGTATTACACAAATATCTTAAAACAGACTTGGGTTCATTTTTGTAATTTTTAAATAGAAAACATTTTAGGCATCTCTTGAAGAAGAAATAAAGCAGGCATTTAAAGCTAGAAAACAAGTAATTCCAAATTTAATTTTTACAAAAGTTTTCAGCTTTATTGACAAATTATGGCAAACATATTTGACAAATTGTGGTTTCCTATTTAGAGAAGCTTACACATGGAACTTTATGTGTGTTTTTTTTTCTTTTTTAACAAATACAGGTTAAAACACTGAACAAATTCAGTTAGCTACATACATACAGTAGCTGCTTGTTTTCAACCCCATTAAAACAGCATTAAAATTAAATTTACAAACTTAATATCAAACATCTTTGTCTAACTAACAGATATTAAAAGACAGGTTAAAACATCTTATCTACAACTTTATTATCAGCTAGTTCAAAAATCATATTACAGTCTTTTAGCAACCCTAAACAAAGTTTCTGCTAGTTGGTTGAGACTCAAAATCTGTTAACAAATTCATGCTTTTCCTCAAAAAAAAAAAAAAGAAAAAGAAAAAAAAAAGATTACACACAACAATGAAAAACAACCAAGAGAATATCATCCTACTGAAAGGTTTATAGACTATGCTTGCTAATGTCTTTTTCAGTCTGTTTTGTAAAATAATACTAGTGTCAATGTCACGCCAACAGTACAGAGGGAAATACTAGAAATATATGGGAGTAATCATGAGCAGTTATCCCTAGAATAGAAACAAACAAACAAAAAAAGGACTATTACTTGTCTTGTTGCTGTTTATGTGGAGACCACAGGCTATGAATTGTCTTTGAGGTGAGGTCACAGGTGGGAAGGACCTTCAATATCTACCATAGGGGTGTTCCCTGTATCCCCCTCTGGCTGACCTTTGCGGTGGTGCCTTCAAGCTAGAGCGGGTTGTGGCCCATTCTTCTGGTGCTGTGAAAAAGAGAAAGATAGTAACACACACATGACTTCACAGTTACCAAAAATAGTCATTTAAGACACAATAGTTGACCGAGAAAAAGAAAACAAAAGATCTCAACACCGAACGCTAAAGCCTATTTTTTCCACATCGTGAGACCATCAAAAAAGTGTGTGTATATAAATGTGTACTGTGTATTTATTATGTGTTAGATTTAAATGCCACAAAATAGAAAGAGGAGTATCAATGTAAACCCCTGCCCATAAAATCTTTTTACATAGAATTCTTAAAAATAAATAAATAAATTGGATATAGGAAACCAGTAGTCCTTAGCCCTTGAATAACTTGAGAATCACCTGGAAATATTAAACAATCAAAATAAAAGATAACTAACACCTGCTCTCTGTCCCCCAAATCTACTGATTAGAAAACTCTATGGGCTGGGACCTACGGTTTGGTATTTTTCAAATACTCCCCAGATGATAGTTATATGGTCCAGGGTTGAGATCCATTGTGTTAAATTGTATAGAGAAAGTGAGAGACAAGCAGAATATAGAGTAGAAAAAACCTTAAGCAGCAAAATCAGTAAACAAAACAAAACACAAAGATATCAGTTTTTCCAAGTAAACAACTCAGTAAATAAAGAAGTATTAGTACACCAGGAAAACTCCATTTACCTGCTAATTTTGGCTAGGTTCCAAAACATTGAGGGTAGTAGAAATCTATTATTCCAAAAAAGCAAGAAACAAGTAACCAAGCTTTTGAGTACTGTGGAAAATAGCTATTGTAAAATCTGTGTCCCCAGAAAAGAAATGCAATTCTTCTTTAAAATAACTCAATGTTGGCTTTATGGTGACATTTTATGTGATTCCAGCAACTAGGTTATTTTGGTCTCTCAATCAGAATTTAGTTCCTCATCAAGAGCAGATTTCATGCATGGGTGTGTAAAAGGAGGTGCAGACAAAGGAAAGAAGGTTACTAGAGACGCATAGATATTGATAATTGATATATAAAAAAATGGAAATATTAACTGGGAAACAATTGCAGATTGAGGGCAACTAATGTAGGGCATTTGCCCCCAGATAGTTCCTCCGATCATAAGAATTAGTTGAGAAAGACTACTAGAAAAGCATAAAAAATTTCAATTGTACTCATTATAATATAGAGCAAATGAAAACAATCTACTATGTAGAAAAATGATCAAAAGTTTATCATTGTTGGGAAAAATGGCACTTAAGTGGACAAATATTAGTTTTTTGAGAATATTCTCACCAGGGCATTATTATTACAACTGATACCTGATAATAAATAAAAAATTATATCTCTTTCACTGTTTAGTCTTTTATAGGATATAAAATAGGAGTAAGAAAGAAATAAATATAACAAATGTTCCCATTGCTCAAAATACAGGTTTACTTGGATCAGAGGTTGGCATACTCTGGCCTGTGAACCAAATTTGGCCAGCTGATTGTTTTATAAATAGTTTTACTGGAACACAGGCATGCTGTTTATTTACATATTGTCTATTGCTGCTTTCACGATACAAAGGAAAAGTTCAGTAACTGTGATAGAGATTATACTGCTTGAAAAGCCTAAAATATTTATACTCTGGGCTTTTACAGAAAAAGTTTACAGATCTGTGCTCTAGACCATGTTGTTTTTGGTGGGAAAATGCAGATGTTGGTCTTTCTGATGTAATCTTTTGAGGGCAGGAATTTATCCCCAAACCATTTGACTTTATCAACATAAAAATGAAAAGAATTCCATGTATTTGCTTGATTGGAACTAAATAAAACTGTTTTTGGTGTACTCAAAGGGAAAACACATTCAGTGTGTGCAAGCTTGAAAGTACCTTCTTAGCCTTATGTAAAATGAATATTTACACCACGTTTATGAGATAATCCAGGCTATATCATTGTTTTTGTCCTCTGATGGTAAAATGTATCCCAATTTATCATGGTTTTTAACAAAAAGAATGTACTACTTTTTGCTCCAATTATTCCAGAGTGTTAGAAATCCCTGGGTTTCACTCTACAGGATTTAAGAGCTGAGACAATAGAGGCTTCAAGTTTTCCCAGGAAATAGAAGTCCCAGGTCCTTTTTTAGATTCTGAATGTTCCTGAAAAACAGCTAAACAATCATGAGCGGAGTGACAGAATACTTGTCACATACACTCCCAGATTTTTTCAGAATTTTAAATTGACATAAACCTAGGGACTTGCTACAGAGGACATAAGTGTTTAATAACTACTCATCAACTTGGCTTCAGTTGACTTTTTCTAAATCTCTAGGGCAGTTAATTGATGAGCTAAAACTCTTCATTTCCTAAATGTTAGCCAACATTAGAATAGGGACTGTTGCTATTCACTGTTGTTTCCCAAGTGCCTGGGAGAAATTCAATGCCTAGTTAGGGCTGAATGTAGTGAAAGGTTACATGAAAGAAAGGATGGATGAATGAACAAGGGAACTATGCAGAAAGTTCCAGTGATAATTCAAAAAACAGAAACAGTTGAGCTAAAGAAATTTAACATTTATTTAAAAAACTCTTTAATTAGAAATCTTATATATTTGTTATAGAGTTAAAGATCAGACTTCTTACTCAAAAGGGTTATCTAAGTATCAAAAATATTTCACTATTGAATTCAATGAAGTAATCGTAGTGCGATCTCATTATTAAAAAGTACAAAAGTATCATATTTCATGGCACAAATATGTGCTCTTTTATAACGCTCTGCTTCTATGTGAATTAATACTATGCTCTTTCTCCTTGCTCAAGGCTAGGAAAATGGAAATTATTGTTAGTTCATGATACTTGTACGTGGAAAAGTAAATCGCCAGCCAAAGTGATTTCCTATCCAAGCAAAAGTAAGTTTCTAATTTTCCAAGATTCCATACCATTAGCAGAGGAAATTAAGGACTTATTTCACTTAATTCAGACCTTGCTTCCATTGTTTACATGTTCTTGGTAACAATAGCAAAGAGAGATCAGGAAAAGTATTATTTTTATTTGTGTCCATCTTTATCTTTCCTAATATCAGAATGTTTATGTATAGTTACACATTTACAATTGCCACATGATAATGCACGTCAGTTTTTCTTAGTGAAAATATGTTCTTTGGATTGAGATTGGAGAGTACTGAACCAATGAACGTTTTTCCAGTGCCACCATAGAGTGTGTCATTGAACTTTATATGGTTGGCCAAGCCCCTCATTGCTCACCAGCGATATTTAGGCCTCTGGATTTCTTCACTGCAAGTACCACATATAGAAGGGATTCTAACCTGAGTCCCATGGAACCTTGAGCATGGAAGAGGCCCAAACATAGGGAGAGACAAATCATGACTGGGTTCCTCATGATGGGAGTTTCTCTGAAATTTGAAGTTGTAAAGACCCACGAATGAACTTAGAATTTATCTGTCCTCTTGGGTCTCTCAGTAGACAAGCAGATTCTAAATATTTAAAGCCTTCCTACGAATTTTAGAGTCCTGTTTTTTTCTAGTCCCATGGTGTGGTCTAAGATGTCATTTAAAAACTCATTGCATCCAGTGAAATTTAGAAATTTCTTTATCCTTTAGGGAAATGATAAAATAAGTAAGATTCTCTCAATATCAGGATCATTGTCACATGAGAAGCACTGGCTAGGCTATGAATTAATCCAATAACAAATTCCTCCTCAAAAAAGGTACCAAATAACTATACGCCAAATTGAAATTATGGAATGGGTTACATAATTGTGAATCTGAAAATAGCAAATCAGGATATGAGAAACAGAAGTTAAGTGACTTGATCCAATTGCCACCCTTTTTTGGCTTCCAATTCAGGCTTTAAAGTATCATATATTATAAGAAATATTAGATAAATTTATATTTATTATATGAATAATAAAGCATCACTAAACACATTTTTTATTTATTGAAGATCTCCTATATGCCAGTTACTATACTATGTCCTGCATATAAGGACAGTTTAAGGGGCCCATAAAAGACACAGGAAAAAATGAACCTGAAATTTCATAGGTTATGACACAATTTTAATTGATGTTTTAAGAAAATGCTGGGGAAAGCACAGGGAAGGGAGGTCTAACTTTCATCATTCAGTTGAACTTGCATTGAACTCTAACATTTAATCATCTCAAAGAAGAGATTTTCTGAGCAAATATACTTAGTAAGAACACAGGTGCTGTTTAACTTATCTAAGAGAATTCACTTTCTTTAAAGACTTTCCTGTGTTAATTATTTTGTATTATCTGGCCTTGTTTCTAAACTGGACTCTAAGATCTATGAAAGGAGAAATCGTCTACAGTGGTAGACACTGAATAAGAGCAAATAAGAATATTTGTAAGCTGCATATAAATAAATGGTGCTACTAAATAAAAAAGGGGTTTCAAACCAATTATGCAAAATAAGTAAAATAGAACTTTTCAGAAAGGCATTATTAGCAATTAGGTTGTCATGTTGCATGTATACAGTATATGTCAATATTTCTTTCAAAAGTTCTATCTGTTTTTTATTAACTTAGGCTGCTATTTTACCCAGTGAATCAGGTTTTACAGACTGCCTAGAGTGCATCTCTATTTCATGGTAGTCAGCGTCACTGAGGAACATTTGACTGTGATAGAAGAATGTAAATTACCTAGGTAACTCCTGTGCATTAAATATTACTGTGACTTCAAAAGTTTCTGTATCTCAAATACTGTGCGAAATGAGGCCTATTAAGTGCTATGCATTTGTCAATGTGTTCTTATTTCTGCAGTGGGACCAGGTACCTTGGGGAGCATTCACAGTGGGAAAGAAAAATCTGGATGATTTTTAAAGTTGCAAAACTGTGTTCTCTGATAGTTCCAGAGATACTGAGGTAGTTGGGAAAAACATGAAGCATAGGAACGAGGGGTCAATTCAGGAAAAGTTGACATTATTTAAGTATCTGGAAAGCAAACTTTTAATGTTTATCTTTCAGGAAGTAGTTTTAAAATGCCACCTAAGAGGAAATTAATATTAGAGATCAGTTCAGAAAGGATAAAGGAGATCATGGAGCTTACTGAGTGCAGTCATGATACTCTTATTTTGCTATCTTAGATAGCTATTTGTCTGTATATCTGAAATATGGAAAAGAATCTAAAAAGAAGCTTGTTAAACCCACAGCAAAACGAAGGAAGCTCATGCGATTTTTGGTACACTGTAAATCAATATGCAAAAATCACAACTAAAGTAGGAAACCCAAGTTAGTCTCTACCATTACAAACCGCTAGTGTTTTTGCTTTGCAAATCATATAATGGCATTACGACATGGTTGATTAAAATTCATCCTGGCTTTGAGCCACTCAGTTTGTTCATCTCAGCTAAGTTTCTGATGTTTCTAAGGAGTATTATTCTATTTGAAAGCACCTTTCAAATATATGTTTGTTGTTTTGAGGCTATTTAATCCCAAAGAATATGTTAGGTTAGATGTTTTGCTATTGTTGCAACTCACTATTATGATAGCATCCATTTTATTTACTTAATGTTTAAACACCTATCATATTTTAAAAAACTCTATCACAACTTTGAAGGGCCTATCACAGTGCTAGGTGTTTTGTGTATATTATTAGCAAATATCACAATTTTCCTACAAGGTAGCTGTTGACACTACCTTCTTTTTAAAGCTGAGGAAACTATGACTCAGAAAGTTTAGTTGTTGGGAAAATACAGAATTTTTGTCTCTAAATGTCTCACTATCTATTCACCAACCCTTTCTCTTTTTCCTCTTTTTTTCCCCCTATAAAACAAGACTTAATTTATTTTACTTCCCTTAAATTATATAATTAGTATTAATTATATAATAATTAGTGTTGATTCCAACAACAATTAATTAGCCAAAAAAAATGAGATTTACTGTAGTTTTAATTTTGTTAGCAAGAATGTGGGCCGCTTCAACTGAATTTGTGAAGGTGCAAATCCAAAGTGGAATGCAGAGTTCTCTGCACTGCTCTGAGCATTTTAAAATATTAATGGAAATTTGCAACTCAATGGCTCAACCATTTCAACTGTACAACATGTATTCCCACTATTTGTAATTATATAGTTTATTATTTTAAGATGCAGAGGGTAACAGAAGAGGGAGAAATATGGGTGACCAGCATCTCTTTTCACAGATGAACATGGTGCATTATGTTCCAAGAAAAAGGGTTGCTAACTTTGAGTTCACCATCATTTGTCCTCTCAGAAAATTCAATCAGCTTCTGGGAAGCATTTACAACTTTTATCACTCTTTCAAATTTTTAATTAGATGTCCTCTGTTAGAAAAAATGTATCACTTGGGATAATCCATTCAGAGAGTAACAAAGGACTTAGCCTTTCTTTGAACTCCATTCTCAACCCTAAAATCTTACCATGCACATGGCAGGCACTCAGTAATCATTTACTCAATAAATTAATTATATTTAAATATTTTGCATCTTCCTTTCAGACCCATAGGCTTCCCTCAGATGGATTCCTTCACTTTTGAACGGTAGTTCCCAGAGTCTTACAGATGTTCTGCATTTGCATTACTATCCTGCCTTTTTCTTGTTGAAAGATTCCTTTCTGCAATCTTAAAACCATTTTTTAACTTTTCTGTATTTTTATATTATTGTGCTTAATATCTCCAATTTACTTTATGTATATACCTAATTTCCATATTATAACCTGGTTTCACAATTTTATCTTCTGTGCCTAAGCTTAGTTGGTTTGAATTACTGCTATATTCTAATTGTGAACTCAAGGAAGCTTAAAAAATATTCCTGACAAACTTCAGGCTGTGCCAAGAACAATATTCCAGGTAGTTTTGCATGTGATGCATAATTTTTATCAGCTTCTGTTTTCCCAGGTGAGGCCACTGTGATTTGCAATATTAGAAAGAATCCCCATAATTCAAACTTCTTGGTGGTAGTGGTGGTGTTTTCAAATTGCCTATTCAGTTCTAGTCCCTGTCCTATACATTATTGTATTTAATAAATTGACTCAATCTGTACCATTTTATTTCTAATTATCATCCATTAATAATTGAAAATTATATATGTCATTAAAATTTAAACAAACATATTTTATGCTTGACTCTGCTGTATAGTATCCTGCAGCTGTAGAATAATACAGGCCAGTGGTTCTTAACATTTTTAAATAAGTGTGTGTCTATCTTATTGCTATGGAGTTAATAACTCATTTAAATAAAAAGGAGACAAAGAAGCTAGCTAGAGAAAGGATTTTCAAAATGGAACATACAGAAAAAATGGTGAATGATAATTTGGCACAATGTAGAAGGTTATCTGACTAAAGTCTAAAACGTACTTTCATTATTGTCAAATAAAATGCTGAATCATTCAAAAGACTGCGGAATTCAGCTAGAGGCTTTTTGAAATGCACATAAGGAGTTTATAATATGAGGAATAACAGAAGGGAGAATAAAAATGGTGGTATAAAGTAATATGGTATAATTCTCTTCTCAAAGAATTCCAATACTCCCTTTAACTCAGTGAAGAAGGTAGGCTTGGTGACAGAGCTTCATAGACAGAGATTACATTTGTAGTTACCTGATTGTCTTACTCCCCCTACATTCTTCATTTTTCTACCTAAGAGCAGAAATGAGCCATAGTTATAGCAATTAGAGAAAATCAGGTTTTCAGCTCTACAAATGTTAATCTTTCTGTATGACCTACTCTAAGTGCAAGTGCCTGTGTTTATACCACAGTGTGCCTTTCCCTGCTTTTCCAGGTTGATAAATTGGCTCCCACCACTTGTGAAAGATCTTAGTTAGTCTTTGTCCCTGGTTACTGGGAGGTAAGCTCTAAATCCTAAAATTTCCCAAGTGATTGGAGTGTCTTTGTTATTCATGGTGAGCCCCTTCAACCACACCTTATAGTTTATACTAAGGAGATGATTCAAGATGGCAATGGTCATGCCGGGAAGACTAACCATAATATTAGAGTTTGGGCTTTGGCCTATGTGATATCAGCCCAACCTGAGGAGTGGAGAAGGCTGGATATTGATATGATTTAATCTATCATGTCTATACAATGAAACCATAATAAAATGTCTGGACACTGAGACTCCTGTGAGCTTCCCTGGTTAGCAATACTTTTATCTATTATTACATAATGACGTGCCAGGAGGATAATGTGACCCAGCAGCTGTCAGAACCTTCATGTTTGGGATCCTCTCAGACTGTGCTCTTGTCATATGTGTCTCTCTCTTTGACTGGTTTTGATTTGTACCCTTTTGCTATGATAAAACTATAATCATAAGTATAGCACTTTCCTTTTTCCTTTGAGTTGTTCTGAAAAATTATTAAACTTGATAAGACCGTGGGAACCCCCGAATTTGTAGCCAGCCGGTCAGAAGTAAGAATAGCCTGGAGTCCCCCAAACTTGTGAGTGTTGTATGAAGTAGAATTTTGTGGAAATTTTGTGGAAAACTGTGCCCTTAGTTTGTGAAGTTTGGCCTATCTATGGGCATCCCCTTTGTCTCTTTGCTTGCTCTCTCCAATCTTCTCAGAAGTGTAAATCTTAGCTCTTGGCCCATGATTGAACCTATCTGTGCCAGAACTTCTGGATACCAAAAGCCTCTTGAGTTATCTGCCTATTACCTGCTGCTGCACTCCCCTGAGCATGAGGGAGCTTCTACTGGGATCTTCCTGGACAATCGCAAACTTCAGAGAGACTGATCTAACTATTTTAGTTGTTGTCTTTGTTCGTCTATTTTCTGGCATCTCTTGTTACCCATTGAACTAAAGGTTTGATAAGGTACCAGTACGGTTAAGTCATTTGTTCAATACAAGAAGACACTGATTGTGAGTCATATATACATGTATATATACAGATATACATAGATACATATATATTTGCAATGTTGGGAAGAATCCCTGTAATTCAAACTCCTTGGTGGTGGTGATAGTTTTTTAAAATGCCTATTCTGTTTTAGTCCAGAGCATTTAACAATATTCTAGTCCAAAATACTTAGCAAATATGCCATCATTCAATAAATTATGATGCTTGATAAATCAAGTGTAGCACATTTATTTCAGACCAACGTATTTTGTCTTTTTTTCTTTTAATCATGCTCTCTTTTAATACACATAAAAATCTCCCAAATTCTGGAAATTCTGTAATGATTTCCTAAGGTGGCATATCCCTGGATATATTTTTTTTCTTAGCTGGCATACTTCCAAGTGGGCAAAATTTTTCACCATGTTCATATTTTGTATTCTGTACTTTGTGCTTTATAAACAATTCATTTTTCATATATTCTAAATATAAATCTATATCCTATTGAATATCCTTTCTTGTACATGATCTGTTCATCCCAAGAGTTCGACAATAAGTCACTCAACTCTCCCCTCCCTCTTAGCCAAAATGATTGTGCCATTAACTCAGCAGAAAAGGAAGTGATTAAAAAAATAAAAAACACCTTTCCTATGGCTTGTTTTATTGTTTCAACAAGAGAGTTGTTAAACACATGTGGACTATAATTTTTTGTTGACTCTACCTGTTGGGTAAATTTTTTAAAAAGTCAAGGTTGAGATTTAACTGTTCAACACACAATTGTTCAAAAAGGTAGTTACTTATGTTTATTACTACTTAAACTTACAGTTTTTATAAAGTGGACTTAAAATATCAGGTTCTCTAACAAACACAATGTTTGATTACAAAATACCCAGTGTTATAAAAGGAGCCTGCATATAAGTTATGTATCACCTTCAAAAATGCAAATGACTGGCACAGTTTGGCAATTCATCCTTTCAGTAGTCATGAGAAGCAGATACTGATAGGAAAAAATAAAAGGGCTTCAAGTACAATTTGGTCTTATTACTGTAAGAGAAATTATAAAGATAATTATCAAAAAATGGATATTACCAATTAAGATCATAGGATCCTTTGAATGTGCCCCCATGCATGTGGCTATCTAAAACTTATTCTCAACCTTAGCTTACAATGGAACCACCTATGAAGCTTTTAGATAATTCTGATGGCTAGTTCTCATCTCCAAAGGTTGTGATAGATCCAGTCTGGTATGGAAGCTGAACGTTCGTATTTTTTTCAAAGCTCAACAGGTGATCCTAAAATGTGTAATCACGGTTAATAATCTCTGAAACACTCAATAGCAGATTTCTTTCTCACCTAAAACTGTTGGATTAAGGAGTGCATTATTCAAAACAAAATTGAAACTGTAAATACTTTGAACCTAAAATAAGCAATACAAGCATTGATGTAGTGGTGCACTGCTCTTTTTCATTGTTTCTTGCCTAGGCAACATGCTCTGCACTTATTACCAAGGCTAATTGGATTAGATATCAATCTAATGGCAACCCCTGAAATAGCAAAAAGAGAAAGCTAATTTTAAAATTAATTTCACAAATGAATTTTAAAATACTTTAGAAGCATTATTTCACTAGGCTTTCTTCCTTTTAATTACAAATAAAGTTTAAAAATCTATATGAAAAGTAAAGCACAGTCCTATTTTCCCCATAACCTATTATGTAACAACTTTAATACAATAAATCTCAGAAAAAATAAATTATTTGCATATATTATTTTTAAATGACTGATAAATTATTGCCAATATTAAGAAATCTCATTTCCATTTGTAAGTCAATTTTCCCAAATTTATATTCTATTTACTATTAAAAATAGACAGTCTTTGTTCTTGAATTAAATGGCTGCCACAACTGCCAGTTAACTTCATTTTCCTTTGCTGTTTTCACAGATTAATCAATGCAGGCCTTATTTTCACACAGGGAAAATAATCATTCCAGCTCCTCAACACAAAATGAATACATTTGTGTTCCACAATTGACTTGAAGTGAGGCACTCAAATGCCCTAGAATATGGCACAAAATTTCTTTTTGCTTTCATTCATTTCAAGATAGTGTATTAATATTATCCTCCTTGCTTCCACACAGCTGTCATCTAAAATGCCACTAAAGAATGGATGCATAATTAACTCTTTAGCTCATACATTAAATACATTTTAATAAATAGCTCTTTTCTCAGAGAAGAGAATATTTCTGTCCATTCTTAGCTATCAGTCTCAGAGAGAACTTAGAGAGTATTTCTTATGTGAAGCAGTGCTTAGCCAAGCTAATGTAGGCACTGTATTTAAAATGCAGCCTTAGTGAATTATAAGCCATTCTGACTCATCTGAAACAATTATAGTGATTCTGATAAATTAAGAAATATTTTTAAAATGCAGAAACTGATTTGGAATTCCTGTAAGTCAAATATTCATGCTCCAAAAACAAATTCAAGTGATGAGAAATGTAATATTTAAATGTTAATAGTAACCAATTGAAAATTAATTAAATATTTAATAAATACCAATGCATTAAACATTAATATTTATAAGATAATTATATGTTAATAAGTCATTTATAATTTTAATATTTAGATGTTATTTACATTATAATGAGCAAGATAGTTTAATATTTAATATTAAATTATTTGCAAAGATCCTGAATAATTTAACTGTGATAAAACCTAAAATAATACATTATTTTCTCAAAGTCAATATATTTATTATTTCAGTGATAAAATATAGGCCCCAAGGAGACAAATACAATTTCAGTTTTCATACACAAAACATAATGTATGAAGATTTAGAATGAAGTGTCCCACTGAAGGACTGAATTTTTATTTCTGCTGGCTTATTTCAAATCATTTCTAGAGGAAGTCCAAATGAGAAGCTCCATCTCTGAGTCTTTGGAATGCAGAACCCTGCCATTCGGGAGAGCATTCCTTCTTCCTCTCCCAATGCCTTCACTTGTCCCCACAGTTCTTCCTGCCAATGTGAGCTGCAGAGGAAGGTGCCTGGGACAACTGACTCTGAGACTCCTCACATAACTCTCCAAGTCTAGGGGGTTGCCAGGAAACTAAAAATTGAGGCTATTAGTTTTGTAAAAATACAGACATTCCATTGGAATTTAGTATCAGTCTACGATACGACCACAATGTAACACAGAGGAGTTACTGATTCAGCATGAAAGTGAATGAATAACTGGAGATATGAGATTTATATTTTGGAATAACTATTATTGATTTAAAATATTGTGTACCATTGACTAAAGATAAATTATAAATAGATAATAGTTAATATGTAAAGTATGGACAATTAATAAAAATAATCAATTGATATTTGACTTGTGTGGGTCCTCAAATCACTGCTCATCATCTGTATTTACATTTTATCATCTGCCTATTTGGATATTTTATTATAAGCAACTTATCACCAACTACCTAATACCTAATATCCTACTACATGATATCTAATACCACAATCTGAGTGCACATAATGCATATTAATTTAATTGGGCTGCAAGGTTATGGTGCTGAGCTCTTACTATTCTTTGTCCTCTTACTTTGTCCTTGCTCTATTGCCTGCATAGGATATGAGAGCAAGAAGATTCTCAAAATTCAAATCTCATGACCATATGAATCTAGAGCAAGTACTTTAGTTTTTGGCTGTGCAAAAAGAGGAATGAAATTTAGTTAGTAAAATAGGTAAATACAAGTTATTAGGTAAAAATTGCTGCCTAATTAATATCTTCCTTATTCTGTTCAGACAGTAAAATCCCTTTCTACATTTTCCTTATTACTTTATTATGAAGAATTTATTGGCTACTTTCTATGTGCAGAAAATTTCTTGTTGGTAAGTGGTAATTTGGCCCAGAATGAAATTTAGTGCTTATGAGCAGTTAGTTCTCCTAAAGTAAAATGCATTACTTCTCTCTAGACTTTGCAACAGCAGGAGAACCAGACTACAAAGAAAGTACAATATAAGACTCGGGATTATAGAGGTGAGCCCTGGCCCTCCAGACCATAACCCTTGCATCTCCATTAAAAGGCTTGAGAAGCAAGAGTTGTATTTAAACACTTTTTCCAATAGCATTACGTGGCATTGACATTTCAAAATGTAAATAATTCCGAAATAGAAATCTCATCTCTTATCACCAGTGATCCTGCCAGATATCATCAAATTTATCCTTTCCTTTGATCTCAGTGCATGTAATTCTGTGAAGCTCATGAGCATGATTTTCCTCAAATTGATGTAGCAAGTGTAAAAAATGATTGTATTTTGCAAGTAAAAGTTTGATTTTTCAAAAAATGACTACTTACAAATAATAATATGCCTTCTCATCAGAACATAAGCTTCAAGAGATTGTTCACTACAACATCTCTAAGATTGAGATCAATGGCTTACATGTGTTAGCCATTAAGTAAATACTTGTTAAATGAGTAATGTTCTCTAAACGTGTATAAAATTATTACTTAAAATGGTTTAAAATCTGGTGCAAACTTTTATATGTAGTTGTAAGTTTCTCAACACCAAATAGCAGAAACCAAGGAGGGACAATGTCCACCCTGTACATCATCATGTTCTCAGAGACTAGTGATACCTATATGCAAATTTTCAATGAATTAAAGAAAGGCCCAGTTTGTGTCTTATTCATTGATCATCCTGTGTAACCAATTGTACAAGGCTTGCGGCCTCATTCCTATATGATTAAGAATGTGCTTGGAACAATAGAAATATATTTATTTTTGTGTTGAACTCAAAGAGTGCTGCAGGGGCAGGTGTGGATGCTCTAAAATGCTAGGCAATCTTACACCTCAGCCTGGCTGGCCCCTGGTGTGGCTTTGGAGACAGCCTGGGATTTGGATGCTAGTGTTTTTATTAAATACCATCTAATGCCTTTGACCCCTTCCTTCCAATGAGTGGAAATTATATAAGGAACAAAATTATAGCTGCACTTCCTATGGCAGCTTATCAACTGAGCCAGAACTGTGCAGACTTGTTCATCACTTGTATTTCTGTGAAATAATTTCTGAAATTATGTTAATTTGTTTTGGAAAATAGTTCTGTCTCCTATAACAGCAAAATATTAGGTTAATTTGATTAGTGCTAGAGAAACTTAGATTTGGGAGAGAGTAAGCCTGGTGCTCATTTTGGATTAATTATTTACTTTTTTTCCTGAAAAATAGTATAAAAGATCTCCTTCCCCTTAAAATAGTGAAATAGCAAGTGATAGCATTTTGAGAAATCCTAATTTAGGAAGGACGATTTAGGATTTAGGAAGGAAGCTGAACGCCTTTCCTTTAAACAAACTCAGGTTTAAAGTACCACATCCTGTTCTTTTTACCAAGTCTACTGAACCCTGCTCCCACCTCCTGACAAAACAAACAAACAAACAAACAAACCCCCAAATAATCAGACACACTTGAATTCACATTCTTGTTCTGTTACTGGCAAATTGTTGAACTGAGGCAAGGTACTTAATGCTCTCAGTCTTAGTTTCTCACCTGAAAAATGCAGATGACAATATAAGTGTGCATCCCAAAGTCTTATCTGTTTCCCATCCTTCTCTAGAGGATTCTAATGGAGGTTAGAGTAAACAAATAGATAGATGTATAATTTCTATAAGGATTACTTCTGCAATTGCTAATCCTTATTATAAAATGCTTAGTACAGAGCCATAATAGGTACTCCATGTGTGGTAGCAGCAATTAATAGTATTTCAACCACCGATGAGAATATAAGAACAGAAGTTGAGCTTCATAGCCATACTCTCACATTGACTTCACCTTTGTTGTTCAGTTTCCTCATAAAAATGGAGATAAAAATACTTAATATTTCAATTTACTTTAAAGAAATAAATACAAAATATCTGTAACTAATCAGCCCATGGTTAGCAATAATTGTGGTGGTGGCTTATTTTTCTCCTCCTATTTCTGGGCTTGGCCTTGTGTTAGTCAGTTTATGACTGGTTTTAAGGAAGATACTCTTCTTCCTTTCCTCTCAGCATCAGGACGTGCCCTTCGCCAGCCTGATGCAGCATCATATGAAGCCCCAAACACAGCAATAACCATTGTTTCCTTTTCTCTTCCCCACAGAGAGGAATAAAGTGAACATGGTATTATTTAATTTATTTATTTTTGTTAGAGACCGGGTCTCACTATGTTGCCTAGGCTGGAGTGCAGTGGCTATTCGCAGGCATGATCATTGCACAATTATGGCTTCAAACTTTTGGGCTGAGGCAATCCTCCTGTCTCAGCCTCTGGAGTAGCTAGGACTACAGTCATGCACCAATGCCAAGCAGCCTTGGTATTATTTTAATAAAAATTCAAGACTATAAATATTTAAATTAGTAACATTTTTCAAGGTGGTCAGCTAGTGATGCCATATATGTATTTTATTTATTTATTTATTTATTTATTTATTTATTTTTGAGACTGAGTCTCGCTCTGTTGCCAGGCTGGAGTGCGGTGGCACGATCTCGGCTCACTGCAACCTCCAACTCCCTGGTTCAAGCTATTCTCTTGCCTCAGCCTCCCGAGTAGCTGAGATTACAGGCATGCGCCACAATGCCCAGCTAATTTGTTTTGTATTTTTGGTAGAGACGGGGTTTCACCATGTTGGCCAAGATGGTCTCACTCTCCTGATCTCGTGATCCGCCCGCCTCAGCCTCCCAAAGTGCCAGGATTACAGGGGTGAGCCACCACGCCCGGCCACATATGTATTTTAAAGAATCGCAAACTATGTCTCAAACATGATGTACTGTATTGATATATCATAGAAATTCAATAGATCTTAACTGAGTATAATTATGATTAATTTTAAGTGGCATTTTAATTAAGGAATATATTTTTTAAATAAATTGATTTTATAGACTGACATCCTTATTGACTATCAATTTTTTTGAGCCAAGCATTATTTGGCTATGCATGCTAGAAAAATAACTTGAGAGTTATTTTATAGTAACAATTTCTGCCCTTAAAGTTTGTAAATATTTTAAATGTATGTTACTCTGATGATCTTTTGACAGCAGAAAAGACACAATATTGTTGCCAAATCAATGAGTCAGACAATGAACACAGTTAAACATACAAGACGCTATTCAGAATGATCACTGTTGCTGTTGAAAATGATTTATGATTGTGATTAATTGCTTTTAAAATTTTGATCAAAATTGATCTGTCTAATTTTCTGGTACTAGCTGTGTAAGTCAAATCTCACCCTGGAATTACATGAATCAATTTAGTCTAGACTTCTGGAAAAACTAGGGGGAGAAAGATGGAAATAATGTTTGAATTGTCGGTGACTGATGGATGTTCCGATTTCACAGTTTTAGTAAAGAAAAGGTCTTACCGTAGCTGTCATAGGCATCCTCACTTACTCCATGACCGTAGTCATAGTATTCAGGCACACTGCAACAAATTTAGATAGCAATCAATGTTACTATAACCAGGAAATTCAACCCAGAAACTCATATGGAATTTGAAGGCAAAATGTGTGCTGAGGTAATATTCCAGGAACTTCAAGGCATAAAACACAATCCTAAATAAATCTTCAGTAAGAAAAACACAGGTTATTGACAAGGAGTGCTATGATTTTTTTTAATGCCATCTCAGTATTTCTTTCTCTCTATCCACCAATTTGATAAATCAAATTTCCCCTAAAACACAAGTATAACACTTCAAAATCTGTCAAGAAGAGAGTTATAAAAGGCCTATTTCCAAGAAAAAGTGCTCTCTAAGATGACAATCTGGTCAATCATGTATAGCTTTTAATGCTGTTATCTTAAGAAATATGCATCATTTTTTCACTTTGAAACACTAAACTGTATTTATAATCCCCTTTATCCCTTTTACATCATGTCTGTGCACTCCCCAAATATATAAGCTATTTTGTTTCACTCGATATTTTGCTAGATGCTTCCATATTTCAATAACTGTCAAAGGTGTTCTTCCTCCATTTCTTACTCAAAGGAAACTCTCTCTCTGACTCACTCTGCTACCCCTTTACAATTGTCCTCACTGTTTCCTGCTGCATCCACTTCCCCCTTTAAGGCATAATGCCTATTAGCACTCCAAAGTCTTACGTGTTTCTTATCCGTAAAAAGCTCTGCCTCATCCACATAATTCCTTCTAGCAACTATCCCATTTCTTGAAAAGAAGTGACTTTACTCACTCTTTTCACTGACTCTTCTCCATAGGCATTTGAAGACAATCAGGCTGTCGTTCCACTGCTCCACTGAAACAGCTCTTGACAAGATCTTAACATTTTCACATTCAATGGTCAAGACTTAGTGTTCATTTTACTTTAGCACCATTTAACACAGTTGATTATTTCATGATTCTGCAAACATTTCACTTGCTTCAGATATCTCCTCTTTCATGGGTCTTCAAGTGCACTTCATTTCTTCATTTTTCCCTATGGTTACCTTCTCATTTTTCCAATCACTTATTCCTGGAGACCACTAGGGCTCAGTTGAATGTTTCTCTTTTCTATTCATACTTACTCCCTAGGCAGTCTCATCTGGTCCTAATGTTCTATCTAATAGCAAATTCACTTCGAATTGCAAAATATATCCAGAATCTGAACACGTCTAAACATATCCACAGCTATCACTGAGTTAAAGTTATTACTATCTCTCATTTAAATGAGTATGCTATCCTTCTAAGTGGTTTCTAGGCCCTGATTGCTCTGTTTCTATTATCGATGTAGCAGTCAAAGTCATTCTTATAGAAGTAAGTTAGATCATATTAGCTCCCTACTCAAAATTCACAAATAGCTTCCCCATAGTCTTTAGGAGAAAAATAAAAAATTCTTATTTTGCTTACACCATTTGTCCCCCCCTTGTATTTCTCAGACCTCATGCTCTAACACTTTCTCCTTGCTCACTCACCCTACTCAGGGGGCATGGCCTCCTAGATGTTCTCTGAACATTACAAACACATTACTGCCTCAGGGCTTTTTCATTTGCTGTTTCTCCTACCTGAAACAGGCTTTCTCTAAATGTCCAATTGTCCCTTTTCCCATTCTTTCAGAGCTCACTCAAATGTCACTTATGAGAGATTTCCCTGATCAGTCTATTTAGACCAGGGACCACCTACCTTGCTTTGCTCACCTTAGCATTCATTGATCATCACCATACATATTATATAAACAAACACACAAACACCCATTTGCTTATTTATTTATTGGCTGTTCCCCTCTTCTAGAATATAAACTTCTTGTTATAGAAAATTGGTCTCTCATTTATTTCATTTATTCATTTGCTGTCGTTGTTCCAAGCAGATTTTCTAGAACAAAGTTTGGCACATAAGAGCTGCTCAATGAATATTTATAGGACAATAGAATAAATTACTCATAGGAAGCCCAGACACCATTTAATTGAGTAGCCTAATAAAACCACGTCACAATTTAAAAAAATAACATGCAAAAGAGAAATTTAATTTAATTTAATTATTATTGGGCTAATTCATGTATTTTTAATCTTACTGAGGGATCTATAAATATTGATGATACATTATATTTTCCTTCAAATACACTTCTTGGTTTAAAGTTAGATGTCAAGCATTGCCCCCCTATATAATTCTTAATTTATAAGTTACCTCAAGGTCAGTAATTCATTTTAACTATATAAAAGTGTATCAAGACAATGGCTGAATATCAAAAACCAAATCATATAAGGGCTGAGGGTAGGGGATAGATGCCAAAGGGTTAGGATGGAAGGAACGACAGAAGGGCCTAAAATTAGATGTTCTCTGAATGTGGTTATTATTATCCCACAAAGCAATTCCATAGGTCTCATTATTTTAAGTACTTTTGATTTTATTGATAGTAAAGCAAGAGAAGCAGAAAAAGAAAAGAAAAGTCTATATATCAGAGATAAAAAGAGGGGCAGAGAGAACTTTGGTCATCCTTATCTTCCTTGGAGGCAATTTATAATGCATAAACTTCAACATAAGTGTAAAGAAGCCGAAAAAATGATTGCCTAGCTCAGCCCTCACTGCCCAACATGTTTACATTCAAACTGTCTAAAAAATTATGGTAATGTGTTCTCTTCATCCTTCGAATGACTTGAGATTGTAGAAGGCTAATGGCATTGGCTGGAATCTGGATGTGTATCTCTTCTTTCACATACTTGACATGATAAAAATGATGCAACCCAACTCAGAGTCCTCATATAGGGGTAGCAAATTCCTGAGAGTTGTTAAATTGATTCCTTAAATGATTAAGAGGTGGACTTCATGAGAAAATAATTTAACAAGCAGCAGTCCCACTTATAGCAGCATAGAGGAAAATGCTGGCATTAAGGGAAGCTTCTCCTTCCCTTGTCATCATCAATACATTTTCTATGAGTAAGCCCCGATCATGTTCCCCAAAGTGTGCTATGTAGCACTATAACAGCATCAAGTGGTATTAATATGTTTCTCACTTTTTATTTTAATTGCTTAAGATAAGAGACAGAAAAAGAACAGTAGTGGGAGAGAATATGATAAAGAAGCACAGTTATTGTCTATCATAAGTGATACATACACAGCAAGAGGGAATTTTAACTTTCAGAACTCTAAACAAGGGAGAACAGAGCATACTAGATATTTGTAAAATAATGGAAGATAATGGAAAATGATGTATAATAATCAAAATGGACTCTGCCACAGTCTATACCTTAGATTATTAAAATATAACTTCTCATTTCTTCCATAGATAAATGTTTACTTGGACAAATGGCTGCACTAATAGTGAATACACCCTTTCAGCTAGATGTGCCACCCTTTCAGCTAGATGTGCCCTCGTGACTAAGTTAGGACACATGGGATGTGTGCAGAGATGGGAGTGTAAATTAAGATCCTTTCCCGTTTAAGAATAATCTCCTCATCCTGGGCTTGTGCACATTTACCTTCTCAGTTGGTAGAAGGCATTCAAAGTGATGATCTAGTATCTGCAATGCAAACAAAGACAATGCCTTAAGAAGTCATCAGTTGCAACACGGGAGGTACCTCTGCCTCTAAAAGATCACATGGAGCAGACTTATTTTACACTACTGCTTGCCTCGGGGATTGTTAAGAGAAAAATACATTTTAAAAATATTATTTGAGTCACTGAATTTTGAGCCTCTGTTACAACAGAGTAGATGAATACAGGAATAACTATGTAGAAATGTGGAATTACCATTTATATCCCAAACTATAGGGCATTATCTTAGTGGGAGGGTGGTGGGTGCAAAGAAAAAAATACTTTAGGGTGAAAAACTGATGGCCCTTGTTATGCCATTGCCAGTGACAACTTGGAAAGCAGGCTATGGGCCTGGATATACTTTGCTCGAGAAAAATGTTGAACAAAGCCCAACTATTGGTGATCCTTGCTACTTTTTAGAAAGGTTTACAAATTATAAGAGCTCAAATAAGAATGGTCATTTTACAAGATGAAACAAAAGTGAACAGAACTTTACTAAG